>NW_013171813.1:0-267463 GCF_000001405.40 Homo sapiens
TTATCCAGCCTTATATTCATGTCTATGGCAGCTCCATAGAGAGATACAAACACCTTTTCACCTAGGAATTAACAAAGTACAAACACACTTCAAGATTTATTCTAAAATTACACACCTAGGCTATCTTTTTTTCAAGCTGAAGTTAGGCAAAATAGCATAAGCATCAGGATTTCATTCTTTCCACTGTACCCCCATCAGTTCAGAGATAAGATATGATCAGAAAACAAATATTATGCTTGGTGCAGTTATAGAAAAATCAAGCTATCTTGCCTGGTCATTGTAAGAAATATATAAAATATGTATTGTTGTTGTGGGCACTCCAAAACTTTTTCTTTTTTGTAAATAGCTTTCAATCCTACAGCCTGACCAGGAGAGCAATCGAGTTATAGAATTTTACTCTATGCCTCATCTTTAGCTCATGCATGAGCTTGATTTGTCATTCTTAAAAATGCTTGTACCAACTATACTTAAGAAGAGCTGCTCAATATGAGAGAATTTAAGTCCATTTGAGAACAGTGATCAGGAGGGAAAATTCAGTAACTTCAAAAATAGAAAACTGACTACTTAAAAGAAACCACATCCCTAAACAGCAATTAAAACAAAACAAAACAAAACAAAACAAAAGAAACACACACACACATACACACACACACACACACCCCTGACATGTCTGGATAGTGGCCACATAAAAAGAAGACAAAAATTGTATTAAAAATTTAAAAATTTTAAATATTAGGAATATCTTTATTCAGTATAGCAATTTAAGCCCCTGACTTTATTCAGGATGCACCAATTACCTTGATTCTTAGTATATAAGTGAGTTTTCAAGAAGACACAAACCTATAAACTATATTTGATTTGATCTCTGCAATGTCACAGCAGGTGCATTACTCTGACATCATATAGAAAAAATAAATATCGAAATACCATGAATGTTTTGTTGATTTATGTTGCTAAAGTTTTAAAGCATCATTACTTGTATCTTATTTTTTAGCAAACATTTCTGCTCCATTCACTGTTGTATGAACCAGTCATTCAGGAAATCAACAACCCTTTATACATTTTAAATGTTCTTTAGGCTCAATAACTTTGGATGCAGAAAAAACTTTCCCCAAAGAAAGAAAAAGTAAGCATCTAGGCATTTGACTTTAAAATTTTTATTTCAAAAACTTATATAGAGAGTCAAAATTTCAAGTACTATAAAAGCAAATACAATGAAACTAAAAAATATATTTCTCCCCTTCACCTAACTCCAAGTCTGATTTTTAGAGGTAAGAACTGTCAATATTTTCATGCACATCCTTTCCAAAAAAAAGGTATGCACTCTTGTCAACTTTTAAACTTTCTTTGAGTGAAATGTAACAATCTGATAAGTGAAAACTCATTGTTACTTTAATTGGAATATCCTTAATTATGGATGGTGTTGAACACCTTTTCATAAATTAATTGGCTTAAACCAAAGAGAAAACCCCTCCTCCAAATAAGTTAATACTCAAAGAACTATGCCTTCTGCTGGTTGTGGTGGCTCATGCATGTAATCCCAGCACTTCGGGAGGCCGAGGCAGGCAGATCACCCGAGGTCGGGAGTTCAAGACCAGCCTCATCCACATGGAGAAACCCCATCTCTACTAAAAAATACAAAATTAGCTGGGCATGGTGGCGCATGCCTGTAGTCCCAGCTACTCAGGCAGCTGAGGCAGGAGAATCACTTGAACCCGGGAGGCGGAGGTTGTGGTGAGCCAAGATCGTCCCATTGCACTCTACCCTGGGCAACAAGAGCAAAACTCTGTCTCAAATAAAGAAGAAAAAAAAAAAAAAAAAAAAAAGAACTATGCTTTCAAGATGAGGGTGAACTGGAAGTAGATTAGCCTTAGTACAGAGTTGAATACCATGCTGGAATTGCCTATGTCTTGCAAATAACTTCAAACCTTGAATTTGATAATTATTGACTGGTTAGACACTTGGTGAAAGAAACTCAATTTTTTGGGGGGGGAAAGGTACTTGCATCCAAAGTTTCAAAATTTTCAATGTTGTTTAAAAAGCACATAACCAAAACATAATGATGCAATGCAAGGAAATAAAACTCCATGTGTTGGAACCAGCAGGTACAAGAAAAATGGAAATAGGCCCACAAAAATATCAGACACTAGGAATCATCAGATAGAAACTATGAACCAATTATACATACTATGTTTAAAGAAACAAATGGATTGCTGAAGCCATATGTAGGAAATAGAAAATCAATAAGATCTTTAAAAATTTTGAAAAAAGCCACACTCTAGGACCTACAGAAATAAAATAGTCTAAATTAGAAAAAATTCAAAATAAATATTTAATAAAATAATTTTATTATTTTTCATGACAAATTAGTGAAATGGGAGGTAGTTCAGAAAACACAAAAGGCAATATGAAGAAATAAAAATATATGAAAAATACAGTGGATAAGATACAAGGAAGATAAAGTTAGAAGGTCTAAAAGTATTGAATTGGAAACTCTCAGAAGGAGAGGAAAGAGATAATGAAGCAAAGACAGTATTTCAAAAGATGATGGCTAAGAATTTTGTTTGGAATTAAAGACATCAGTTCACAGTTCAAAAGGCCAGTGAAAGTCAAATTGGATAAATTTTTTAAAAATCAGACCTGAATATATTGCAGTGAAACTGAAGAAAACCAAAGACAAAGAAAAAATCCTGAAAGCAGCCTGAGGAAAAAAACATTATTTTTAAAGTTTCCACACTTGGAATTACACCTAACTTTTGAACTGAAACAATGGAAACTAAAAAATAATGGAATGATATCTTCAATATGACAAAGGTGAAAACAATGCCATTCAAGAGTTCTACACAAATTTTCCAGCTTTTTTTTGTCTGCAAATATCTTTCTTTTGTCTTCACTTTTAAAGAATACTTTAAAAGTGGTATAAATTTGCATTGTTTTCTTTCAGTGCTTCAACAGTGCCATTTGACTGTCTTCCAGCTTCCATAATTTCAGCAGAAAATTTTGCCATCAGTATTCTTAGTGTTCCTGTTAAGGTAATGTATCTTTTTTCTCTGGGTACTTTTATAATGTGCTCTTTGCTTTAGATTTCAGCCATTTAACCATAATATGCCTAAGTTTGGTTTTCTTTGTACTTGTACCACCACAGGCTTGCTCAGTGTTTATAAACCTCTGGATTAAGGTCATGTATCATTTCTGGAAAATTCTCAGCCATTATTGCTTAAAATATTTTCTACTCCATTCTTCCTCCTCCACTTTTGAGACTCCAGTTACATGTATGTTGACCTTCTGACTGTGTCCCACTTGGCTGTTCTATTTTTTCCCCATTCTTTTCTATTTCTCTCTGTGCTTCCGTTTGGGTATTTTCTATTGACCTGTCTTCAGGTTCACTAATCCTATCTTTTGCAGTATCCATTTTGCTGCTAAAGTCATACCATTAGTTCTTAATTTCCAACACTGTATTTTTCAGTATAACATTGTTATTAAAATCTGATAAAGATATAACAACGATATAGGCCAATCTATAGGCCAATTGCACTTCTGAATAACAATGTAAAATTTCTGAATAAAAATAGCTAATCATTATATATCAGCACATTAAAGGAATGATACTTCATAACCAAGTGGAATTTATTCCAGAAATGCAATAATGTCCCACTACTAGAAATCTGTTTATGTAGCAATAGATCTAAGGAAAAAAAATGGTATGATCCTCACTGATGCTGAAAAAGAATTTGACAAAACTCAAAACGCATTTTAAAAACATCTATAAAATAGAAATTGATAGAATTAAAATATAGTAAAGTCTCGGTAATTAAAATATTAATAGCATGGTAGCAGTGCATGAAGAGACAGATCAGTGGAATAGAATGAAGTCAAAACAGACCCAAATGCACACTGGAATTTAGTATATTATAAAGGCAGTATCTCAAATCATTGGTATAAAGACATATTTGTAAAAAAAAAAAAAGTATTGTTAGGACAACTTCATAGCCATATGAAAAAACATATCTCATATCTTATATCAGAATAAATGTCAAGTGAGTCAAATATTTAAATGTTCAATATGAAGCCATATATATAAAACAATATAAATGAGAATTTCTTCATAACTTTAGAGAGGGAAAAGTTTCCTATGACTCAAAATCCAGATCCCTCTAAAAAACTAAGAAATTTGATTACCTAAAAATGAAAAAGAAACTCATTCAAAAGAAATAAATACATGACCCATCCAAAAACTTGACTGTAAAAGGGATACAGGACCTCTAAGAAACATGTACAGCTGCAAGATAGCACTAGTAATAAAAGAAATATAAAATATCATTTCATGACCATCAAATTAACAAACAAAAATCAAACAGTTTTATAATATCGTTTCAGCAATATATTGGCAAGAATATGGAAAAAGAATTTTTGTATACTTCTGATGAAAGTATAAATTGCCACAACTTGACAAGCCAATTTAGTATCCAGTAAAGCTCAGGATAATTTTGCCCTACACCCCAGCAATTGCACTTGTAGGTATTTATCCTAAAGGAAAATCTCACACAGCTGCCCAAGAAGACACTGTACGAAGCTGCTCAATGCAACACTGTTTTTAGAAGCAAAGAAGTAAATATTCAATTTTCACATACTGGAATGTGGCACATTCATTAAAATGAATCAGAGTAATGTGTATCTACGTGTTTAAATATTTAAAACAACATTGAATGAAAAAAGCAAGTTGGAGAATTTTATGTACAGTATGATACCATTTATGTGAACTTTAAAACTGCTCAAGACAATACTATATATTGTTTATGGATAAGTAAATATGTAGGAATAGCATTAAAATGCACCCAGTAAAGCTCCTCTGAGGAGCAAGATATGGGAATTAGATCAGAAAAGGGTAACAAAGTGGCTTCAGGTCTGTAATCGGTTTGATTATCCAAAAAAAATAAAACCTCTAGAAAGAAATGTGTACGGCAAAAGGTTGAGATGTGTTACATATAACAGGTGTTGATTATATTATTCTCTGTGTTTTTGTGGTTATCTGAAATATGTCATTGTTTAAAAAAATAATCAAAGGGAATAAGAGATCCAAGGGCTTATTTCACGCAACCTAGGGGTCAGAGAGACTAATGTCATTAATTTGAGCTGCTCACTGCAAAAGTCTTCCTTCCCAGAAATATAGCAAAAGCTATTTTTTTTCAAGAACCATCCAGTATTGATTTTTTTCACCACTATCTTCCAAAACTCATCAGCTCCACAAAGTGAAGGAAGCAATAACTCTTCTCTTATCCCCAAAGCTGTTGAAGTATTTGGTTTTTATAATACCTACTTTTATAGAGACAACCTGAAAAAGGTTCCCCAACCCTTAGCTACTTTGAAGTGGTTGGAAGTGGTGTCATGTCTCCAGGAATGGATGGGGAAGCTGTTCCTCAACATTAGCATTCTTTGTGTCCTTGGAGGACCTGTTCCCGCACTGGTGCCTTTTTGGTTTCCGGAGTTGCATGCTGCAATCATTGTAGATAGGCTTAGGAACAATCTTTTACTACATCCCAATACAGACATATTTTGTGGAAGGTCTCACTATCTCTTGCCAGGTTTGCTACCATCAATCAAGTAAAAACAAATATGAACAAAACTAATTTTACAAAAATGAATGTGAAGGTAACTATATATATAATACGCTTCATACTATGGTTTCAGTACTCTCAGACAACAGAGGACACTAAGTTAAATTTATGGGTGGAGCCATAGATTTTCCAGGGAACTAACAAGTTGATGGAAAGTTTTTCATCACTTGGTGACAACAGGGTCAAATTCACTACGGTAGTGCATTACTGAACCGAACTTCTTTGGAAGTGCTCTTTGTTCAGGAAACTTAAGCAACTTGATGGCTCACCTGGCATGTCAGTGGCAATGCCAAAACCGGTATTCTCAGTCTGCACAGAAGGCAGTGTGAAATGCAGAAAGTGTACTGGCCTCAGGGGGTCCCAAAGACCTGGGTTCAAATTCCAGCTTTACTGAGCTGTAAAGTCATTTAACGTCTCTGGGCTTCAGTTTACTTATCACTAAAATGAAGGGAGTTAAAGAAACGTCCCTTTAAATACTAACACCTGCTAATTTGCAAGTCTTCACTTGCTATGAACTTATAGAAACCTTATCTCACTTCCCTAAACATTTAAAGCCCTGACAATCAGAGTGTCTTAACTTCTGCTACTTCCTATTCTAAGCTATGGAATAAGAAACAAAGAAAAGAAAACAAGGTCAAGTAATGTTTCCATTGCTTCTAAAGCCATGTTAAAACATTTGCTTCTTTTACAATACCTCTGTTTGGCTAGATTTTCTAGTTATAACAGCACACATTTATAATTAATAATAATCCCACCATTGAAACAAAGTTGATGCGGGTAAGTCTGCATAGATATTAATAGATTCAGATAGATATTATTTAGCATTTTCAACTGCAAAGCAGCAACATTACAGTCAATTACTGACTATATTATATTTTGGTATGCCTCTATTGGCCTTTATGAGGAAAAAAAGAAAAATTCTTTATGGTTTTAGAAAGCTTACTAGAGTAAAATATGTAAATTACTATAAAGCTGCCGTGTGAAGCACTAATATTATGACTGTGTGTATATTTAATAATAACACACCATCACACCTTTGGGGAAAAAGGTTACTTGCCAACTGCTGACTCCTAAAGTATCTCCTCTTCAGTAAGAGACATAATACTTTAAAAAACGCTGAATACGTGCATCAACTCTATTTCCTGAGTATGCCAATGGTTAATGTCACTTCTAAGGTGAGAAGAGTAACCTCATCAGGCATTGAAGAAGAAACCCCCTACACTACTATTTCTGGTACTCATTCTAGTAACCAAAGTTTCAATACAAATATCTTTTTTCTTTTTCTTTTTTTTATTTTGTTCAAATGTCTTTTTTGAAATGCTGTTCTGAATAGTAATATCTCCTTGAATCCTGTGATTATATTAATTTCTCAAGACTCAGTTGAAAAGTGCAAAACTTCAGCAATTAACCATTTGTTTGTCTCTTCAGAGGCAAATGATACTTCCAGTTATTTGTTTGGTTTTGGATTTGGTTTTGGTTTGGTTTTGTTGTTATCAATGTAGCCTTGAGTAATTGTATTTTTAATCTCTTCTGGAGGGATGAGTTTATAAAAGGTATCACCTTGCATCAGTTCTTTCTCAATTTTAGACTATAATAAAAAAGATAATTAAATCATTTCTCAGGTAAAATCAACTGCTTAAACAAACTTGATTTTACTATACGCAGGCACCCACAGGAAGAAAGAGGAAAAGAGAAGGGAGGGGAGAATTCTGGTTCAGAAAAACATTAATGGGTAAAATATTAGATATTGCTGAAACTTTTTTATGCTCAACCTCCTTAATTGCTAGAGCACTGGTTCAAACTCTGGTTGTCAGAAAAAGCAAAGAAATCTCCTAACTTCATTTAATCAAGAATATATTCAGCGGAGGGCCAGAAACGGAAGGAACAAATGCCACTGTTAGGAACGTGATTGAGTACTTCCTGCTGAGGAGTGTCAATGCTGCTCCTTCTGGAACATTGTTTTAGGAATTATAAAGAAAAGACTCATCAACAGCCCATGTTAAATTTCCTTCCCCAAATAAATTCATATTTCAAACAGCTGCAGAAAGTTCAATCGGATGCTTATTTAATGAAATGAAAAGCCAATGATCATGGCTGCTTGGAAAAGCTTCATGATTAATTGTGTTTAGGCAGTTATTAGCATTTTTCACTAATGAAAGGTTATGGATTCTGGTCATTAACAACCCACAATAAAGATTGAAAGCATATTCTTAGCAGCAGTTCATTTCATGTAAGGAAAAATGCTATAAGACAGTTTACCTCTGCAATCTTCAGAATATGACTTTATTCATTCACCAAAGGTAACATCAGAACCTCAGGAGGTAGAAACCAACTTTTCTATGAATGATTAATTTTTTTTTTTTTTTTGAGATGGAGTCTAGCTCTGTCGCCAGGCTGGAGTGTAGTGGCACGATCTTGCCTCACTGTAACCTCCGACTCCCTGGTTCAAGAAATTCTCTTGCCTCAGCCTCCCAAGTAGCTGGGATTACAGGCACACGCCATCACACCCAGCTAATTTTTGTATTTTTAGTAGAGATGGGGTTTCACCATATTGGCCAGGATGGTCTCGATCTTCTGACCTTGTGATCTGCCTGCCTTGGCCTCCCGATTACAGGCGTGAGTCACCACCCCTGGCTGAATGATTAAATTTTAATACACAAATATTTATTGTGGTTCAACCTATCTTTCCTTTAGCACAGCAGTATATATGTAAGTATGGGTGTCATTCCAAATGCTTACATAAAAGTAAAATTGATATCCAGGGAGGCTGGCAAAATGCAGCCGCATTTCAAAGGCAGCACATCAAGAGAGCACAAATGCACAAAGAGTTATATGGGAGATGAGACGATCTGCTATAGTGAAAGAACACTGCCCAGGAGGTAAGAGGCTGAGTCTGGCTTCTAACTGGGCTTCTATTTGGGCTTCTGATTAGTTCTGTGACCTTGGGTGAGCCACTTAATTTCTTAGGGCTTTAGTTTCTCTATCTGTAAAATCTAAGGGTTAGATGAGGTTATCAGTGAAGTCGTCACTCAAGTTTTGATTCTATCGAGCTATAAGCACTCTAAATCAGCTGAACTCAAAACTCAACAAATAGCGTTTTTTGAAATTATACCCCAACATATGTAGAGTTGTTTATTTATAAATTATACCCATATGCTAGATTGCTCATGTGTCAAATGTATTAAAAATACCCCCAAATGTTTAAAAGAATGAGATAAAGATGAAATAAACAATTATTTTAAAGATAATGTATTTACTATTTTTACCAACAATTATTTTAACAAGAGTAAAAGGGTTGACTATGCTTCATTCTTTTTCAAACTCCTGATTTAAAATCTTGTGATACAGTGACCCAAATCTAATTCTAAGGCCACATTTATTCTGACACTTCGTTTCAGCAACTAACATAAGCAAAATCAACAAGGATGTAAGACATAAGATGTATGCAAAATCAACAAAAATACGGAGATCCAGAGAGAAAAAAAATGTATCACTGACCATATTTATTAGCAGGCATATGTTTCTTCAGTTTCATCCACTATCAGTACCAGTAACACAATGGTTTTGGCTGAAATTCAGCTAATAATTTTACCATAATGGGAACAATTACTTAATAGTCAAACAGGAGGTTCAAATATATCTATAATTGCATTTAACATAAAATGACTGAATAGTACAATTAAAAGACAAAGATTTTCAGACCGGATTTAATAATCAGCCTCATTGGTGATGCTTCCAAATGTCATACTTTAAATGTGAGGAAGGTTGAAAGTGAAAGGATAAACAGATTGTACTATGTCCACACTAATCAAAAGAAAGCTTCTATGTTGTATAAATATCAGATCGAGTAGACTTTAGTGTCATAAATCTTACTAAAGATTGAGACATTTTATAATAAAATGGTTAATTCAACAGGAAGTTATAATAATCCTACATGTGTATACGTCAAGTATCATGGCCTCGAAATATATAAAATGAAAATTATTAGCACCAAAAAAGAGGAACACCTAAGTTGTAGTTGTGGATTTTAATGACATCTTCCAATAACTGATAAAACAAGGAGACAAAACGTTAGTAAAGATATAGATTGAATGGCATCATTATTAACAAATTTGACCTAATTGACATTTATGGAAGGTGTACCCTTTTGAAGCGTACAGGGAACATTTACCAAAATGGAACATATTTTGGGTCATAATGTAAGTCTCAACTAATTTCAAGGCCTGAAATCGTATAGAACTTGCTTTCTGTCACTGGTAGGATTAAACAAGAAATCAATAACAAAAAGAGACCTAGAAAATTCCCTAATGTTTGAATATTAATCAACGCATTGCTAAATAGCCCATGTGTCAAAAAAGAAATAAAAATGTAAATTCTAAAATATTTTCAATCAAGTGTTAAAAACAAAATATGTAAAAACATATGGGCTGAAGATTGAGTCAATTTTAGAGGAAAATGTATTGTCTTAAATGCATGTATTATAAAAGAAGAAAGGCTGAACATCAATATTCTGAGCATCCCTGTTAAGATCTAGAAAAATCATAACAAATCAAACCTAAAGAAAGTAGAAGGCCTGAAAAAATGAAGAGGTGAAATCAATGAAATTGAGAAGTGAACAATAAAAATAATCAACTAAGAGTTGGTTCTTTGAATAAACTAAAAAAAACTGATAAACCCCTAACAATATAGTTCAAGAAAAAAAAAAGAGGAGGATACAAATTACCAATAAGAAAAGAGGAGATATCACCAAGGATCCTATAGCAAACAATGATTAAGAAGGGTTCTGAACAACTTTATGCCAAAATTTTAAGATTTTAGATTAAATGGAAAAGTTTATTGAAAAAGTTTAACAGAATCAATCATTAAAAAGCTGCCCCCCTTTTAAAAAGTGAGGTTAAACAAATGGCTTAAAGAATAAAATTTTCAATTATTTAAGGAAGAAATAACATGACTCTCTAAAACAATTTCTCTAGAGAATTAAGAAGAGAGAACAATTCCCAACTTGTTTTATGAGACCAATTTGTTTTGTTCTGACAAGGGCATTACATGAACAGAAAATTACAGGCCAATCTTTCTCATTAATTTGGATGCCAAATTCTTGAACAAAATATTAGCAAATATAATCCAATGATGTATTAAAATGATAATATACAAACTTGAGTTTATCCCAGAACACAGCAGGAATCTAGCATTTCAAAATCAACCATCGCATTAGAAGAATAAAGGTGAAATAATGTACAATCATGTCAACAAATGCAGAGTATTTGACAAAATTAAACATCTATTCAAGATTAAAAGTCTTAGAAACCTAGAGATAGAAGGAAATTTTTTTAACCTGATAGAGTCTCCAATAAAAACCTATAGCAAACGTCATACTAAATGATGAAATACTGAGCACTTCTCTTCTGAGACTGAGAACAAGAGAAAGATATTTGCTGTCATTACTTCCAATGCACAGCATACTAATGTCTAGCCTGTGGAAGAAAGAATAAGAAATGAAGAGCATAAGGATTGAACAAAATAAAAACTATTATTATCTGCAGATGACCTGTTTGTGTATATACAAAATCCAAAATCATCTACAGATAAGTCAGAAGTAAATTTAGCAAAGTCTGCAGATAAAAGCTCAATATACAAAACTTAACTGTAGTTTAATAAAGCCACATAAATTTAGAAAATAAGCTTGGGAAAAAATACCACACTAGCTATAAAATTAAAATAGATAAACTGTACTTCATCAAAATTAAATTGTTCTGCTAATAAAAAGACATTAAGAAAATTAATTTCTCACTGTGAGAAAATATTCACAATAATTATTTCTGGAAGACTTATATAAAGAATATATATATATATATTTCTTTTTCTTTTTTAAGATGGAGTCTCACTCTGTCACCCAGGCTGGAGTGCAATGGCTTGGTCTCAGCTCACTGCAACCTCTGCCTCCCGGGTTCAAGCTATTCTCCCGCCTCAGCTTCCTGATTAGCTGGGACTACAGGTGCATGCCACCACACCCGGCTAATTTTTGTAGTTTTAGTAGAGATGGGATTTCACTATGTTGGCCAGGCTGGTCTTGAACTCCTGACCTCGTGATCCATTCACCTTGGCCTCCCAAAGTGCTGGGATTACAGGCCACCATGCCCGGCCAAGAATATATTTTTTAAAACTACAAGTCAACAACAAAATGATAAACTACCCCATAAAGAATGGGCAAAAGACTTAAACATGTACTTCAGAAAAAAAGACATCAAAATGGGCAAAAGCACATGAAAAGACACTCAACATCATTCATTATTAGAAAAATGCAAATTAAAACCAAAATAAGGTACCACTTTATACCGAGTAGAATGGCTAAAATTAAAAGACTGACATGACCAAGAGTTGATGAGAATGTGGAATTTCATACCTTCATTGCTGGTGGGAATATAAATAAAATGGTTCAACCACTTTAGAAAACCATTTGGAAGTTTCTTACAAAGTTAAGCATATGATGACTATATCACTCAGCAATTCTACTTTTAAATATTTACCCAAGAGAAATAAAAACATATGTATATCTGCACACACACACATACACGCACACACACACGATGTGTACAAGAATGGTTATTTTATTTTTTATTTTTTATTTTTTATTTTTGGAGATGGAGTCTTGCTCTGTTGCCCAGGCTGGAGTGCAGTAGTGCAATCTCTGCTCACTATAACCTCCGCCTCCCGGGTTCAAGCAATTCTCCTGCCTCAGCCTCCTGAGTGGCTGGGACCACAGGCACATGCCGCCATGCCTGCCTAATTTTTTTGTATTTTAGTACAGACATGGTTTCACCATGTTGCCCAGGCTGGTCTCAAACTCCTGAGCTCAAGCAATGCTCCTGCTGTAGCCTCTTAAAATGTTGGAATTACAGGTGTGAGCCACCGCAGTCGGCTGAGAAAATATTTTTACAAATACTTTTAAATTGATCACTAACCTGATAGGACAATAAGGACATCAATGTGAAGACAAGCATACCAAGAAATAGTCTAGTGCCAAGGCTAGCCTTTGCCCTAATGGCTTTTGTGAACCTTCGGATTTCTGCTTTAAAGATTGCATTATGTGCCGAGGACAGCAGATAAAGTTCAGGGCCTGCCCAGAGTTGGAATTTCAAATCCAAAAATCACAAAACACAAAAAGACATAAGATACCCTGGTTGAAAACCAGCAGAAACAATAAACAGCAAACTAAATAAGTAGACTTAATTTGAATTATCAGATACAAAATATAAAAAAACCACATTTAATATATTTAAGAAATCAAAGGGAAACTTGAAAAATAAAAGAGGGGAGAGCAGTCAGATTTGATAAGAACTAAATAAAACTTCCAGAAATAAAAACAATAATAATAATTAAAAAGTTAAAACTCAGCAGGTGAGACTTCACTGAAGAGGGGATTATTGAATGGAATAATGAATAAAAAGAAAGTATCCAGATCAGTCTACAGAGGAAAAGAAATGGAAAATATAGAGGTAAAAATGAATGAATAACAGTGCAATAATAGATTAAGTATTGGAATAATAGAGTATTCCATATTCCAGAACAAGACGGAAAACAGCAAATAATGCATATGGGGAAACAATGACACACGGCCTCTACATCACACATACACAAAAATTAAATAAAAGATGAGGCATTAACCTAAAGACAGGAGCTAAAACTATAACCCTTCCAGAAGTAAACATGGGAGATTATATTCATGATCTTGCAGAAGGCAAAGATTTCCTAGCATGGAGGCAAAAAGTGTTAATCTTGTAAGAAAAGAAAACTGGTAACATGGATTTTGTCAAAATTCAAACTCGCTGCTTATTAAGAAATATTATCAAGGAAATGAAAAGGCAAGCTACAGACTTGGAGAAAATATTAATAATACATACATCTGACAAATGACTAGTATTTAGAATACTGAGTAATAAAAGGTACTTACAAATTAATAACAAAAGAATAAGCAAAGAAAGGTCTTGAACAGACACTTAAAAAGATAAATGAATGGCCAGTAAGCACCTGAGAAGGCAGGCAACATCATTAATCATTAGGGACATGAAAATTAAAACCACTGATAGACATCGCTTTACACCACTAGTATGTCTAAAATTGACAAAACAGCACTACATGTTGGTGAGGATGTGAAGCAACTAGAACTCTCATGCCTTGCTGGTGGGAATGTAAAATGACACAACTATCTTGGAAAACTGATGCCCCAATGTGTTATGAGCTGTGCTTTCAGCCTTCTACCCTTTGGTTATATGGGTCAAACATTCCCCCTTTTCTTAAGCTAGTTTCTCTTGCTAGCAGCCAACGAGTGTGGCTAAAACTAATAGACAAAACAGATAGACCACATCACTGGCTGGTCTGTGGCATTGTTCTGCTGAGCAATGTGGAGCTAGGGCCACTTAACCATGGGACCTAAGACAAGGGCTTGAGTCGTCCTCCTCAAATACACGTCCACAAAGCCAGCAACTCTGAACTACACTCTAGATGCCTTGTGCTGCTCCTTCTCTGGGTGTACCTTCAAGTTTCTATCTACACACAGATCACCCCAATCTACCAGTGTGACTTCCAGGGATGGGTTCTTTCCTGAGCCCTGCATTCCTCAAGTTTTCAAGCATCAATGACACCAGTTAGGTTGGATTTCCATCTGACTCCACATCATTTCTGTGGGTTCTTCATCTTGTGGATCTTAGCTTACTCTTTCCCCGGCTGTGCGCCTCTGTTTTCTCCCTACAACGCCCTTCTGCAGATAATCTGGGTCAATCAACATGAATGGGTGAAGCAGAAGTGAGAAGGAAATGAGAAAAAGCATAAAATAATAAATGGCAATGTAAAATATTAATTTGGAAGCCAACTTTGGAGACTGCATAATGTACATGCCATCTACATGACCATAAATTAAATATTTGCAACAATGTGTAATTTTCGTGATTATGGAGGGTGTGGCCTTCAAGAAAATACTAGTGGCAACAGATACAGTCCTATATTCCTGTAAGATGTTATGTAGGATATTTGCATGTTCTAAGGATTAAAGTAACTGGATCTTAATAGACTAGTGGGCACATATAAGAACATTCTGAATTGGGGTTTACATTTTTAAAATGTTAGACAAATATCACAATAAGTCAAATGGAAAACCCATGGGGCATTAAATTACCTGCAAATTTTAATATACAGACAACCTCAATCCACCAGTGTGGCTCCTGGGGATGGGCTCCTTCCTGAGTCCTGTATTCCTCAGGCTTTCAAGCACTGGGGACACCAGTTAGGGGGATTTCTGACTCCACATCATTTCTACTGGAGGCATTCATTTTTTTTTTTTTATCTTGTGGATCTTAGCTTACTCGAATGCAGCCAAAATAACCATTTCCTATTCAGCTTTATCATATTTCCCATCTGACCTTTTTAAATTTTTTAAAATTGATTTTATTATTATTTATTTATTTTTAATTTCAGTGGTTTTTTGGAGGAACAGGTGGTGTTTAGTTACATGAATAAGTTCTTTCGTAGTGATTTCTGAGATTTTGGTGCACCCATCTCCTAAGCAGTGTACACTGTACTCAGTGTGTAGTCTTTTATCCCTCACCCTCCTCCTGCCCTCTCCCCCAAGTCCACAAAATCCATTGTATCATTCTTATGCCTTTGCATCCTCGTAGCTTGGTTCCCACTTATGAGTGAGAACATTCTCATCTGACCTTTCTTAATATGTAGAACTTTTAACAAAGAATACTGCATACCTGTGTCATAACACACGATAAGTCTTCCACTGTGATCGCCCACACTCTGTGGCTCAAACTCCACTTCCAGTTGCATGGACTCTCCCACATTAAGAGTTCCAATAGCTGGTTCTATAGAGAAAGGCCTGCAACACACAGAGAGGCACATCATCAGAGCATATTTCTGACTAGTGTGAGACGGGGAGGAAAGGAGACAGGAGTTCTAGTTCTGCAGACAGCTCAGACCCAGCACTGCAATTTCATGATCTAGAAGTGAAGTAGACTTTTGCTACCTAATGTGAAAGAACTTTAGTTTTAATGTTAAAATGACAGCATTAGATTAGCAAGCGTAAGGGCAACTTAAACAATGCAACAATATTCTTGTTTGTGTCCTTGCCATTCAGCCCTGCTTTTAACATTCATTGAGTATCCCTGCTGGGCTCAGGCACTCAAGTTAGGGTGACTGCAAATGAATAAAATCCAGCCTTTGTCCTCAAACACTGAGATTGCTGTAAGGAACAGACTTAAAATATGTATGCAAATATTGTCATTTTCAAAAGAACAGTGCCTTCAAAGGGATAAAAATCGAGTTTTGTGAGAGTTCACAGGAGAGAGGGCATCATAGTGGAAAAATATATCTGAGCCCCAAAAGGAAAGGGATAGCACCCTCACTCGCCTTAGGATAATTCAGGACAGATGAACAGAGGGTCTATATTAAAAGGGTGGGAGGGGTGTAGAGGAACTACAGGAGATGATGCAATAGCCCAGGTGGTAACAGTAGCGCTGCCACAAAAGAGCCATGGAGAGAAGGCATGGTTTTTAAAACCGCAAGGAGAGGCCTAAGAGAAGGCTGCCTTATGGGGAGCAAGGAGACGTAGCCAAGGGAGACAGCAGCCCAGGTGGTCTCCCAGGGAAGACAATGGGGAAAAAATATCCTGACCTCACATCCCCTCCCATCTCATTGTCTACCAGACCCTCACTGGGTGAACACAACCAGAGCCAGAAATGCGAGTCGAGGGCTGTTGACCCAGGCTGTAGAAGCCAGCCTCCGGGGCTAGAGCAAACTGAAGAAGGGTGGAGAGTGCATTTGAAAAGGCAAACTGAGGACAAATTCTGTGTCTTGAAAATATAATTTGGGATGCAGACATTGTGGGGAGTGAGGGTTGATTTGGAAACAGGAAATAGTTTAATTGTTTTGGAAGAGAATAGTAAGAGGGAAGCTGGATCTGATGGTGAAATACCTTAAGTAACTTAGAGAGTTCTTCCTAAATAGGAAACCCAGCCCATTTAATTATTTTCATGGTCCATTTCACTTCTTTAAATTGCTAGTTTTTCAAAGTAATGTGTTGTGTAATGCATCTGGCAGACCGAGCTGTTTCTGATTATTTACTTCGATCACAACAGTTCTTAGAGCTGTCATTCCTTAAATCTTCCCTTAGATGATGAACTCAGTTTCAGAAAATCTAAGCTTTCTGCTATAAGGATACAGAGTTTATGTCAGGGGTAGCACTGGGTGGCATCTGAGAGTATTACTACAGGACCTCAGGTGCTCCCTACTGTGAGCAATTGGTTATTTTCTCTGGTACTTTCTACTTGATCTCCTCTCTTTTCTTTTTTTAAGTTTTAAAAAAAAATTTACTTTTTGTGGGTACACAGTAGGTATATATATTTATGGGGTACGTGAGATGTTTTGATACAGGCATGCACTGTGAAGTAATCCCATCATGGAGAATGCATATCCATCCCCTCAAGCATTTGTCCTTTGTGTTACAAACAATCCAATTACACTCTTTTAGCTATTTTAAAATGTACAATTAAGTTATTGACTATAGTAACCTTGTTGTGCTATCAAATAGTCTTATTCATTTTTTCTAACTATTTTTTAATACCCATTAACCTTCCCCAACTCCCCACCCAACCCCCACTACCCTTCCCACCTCCAGTAACCATTCTACTCTCTATGTCCGTGAGTTCAATTGTTTTGATTTTTAGATCCCATGAATAAGTGGATCTCCTCTCCTTTCACTTCCTGATTTTCCTGCTTCCTTTCCTTTTTCCTGTCCCCATACCTGTAGCACTGATCCACCAGTGAACCCCAGGCATTGCTGCAGAGGCACTCTGGGGCAGTGGTTACTAGCCTGACCTCTGGAGCCAACCGAATGAGTTCAAAACCCAGCTCTGCCACAACCTTGGGCAAGTCACCTAACCTTCAGTTTCCTTATCTGTAAAAGGAGGGTAATGATAGCACCTACTTCATACGGTTATAGTGAGGATTAAAGGGGTTGATATAGGTCAAGTGCTTAGAATAATGCCTGGCACAAAGGAAATGCTATACAAGTGTTTATTATTCTTTTTGTTATGGCTATTTTTATCTCCCTCACTGGCAGCCTCTAGATGCTGTGTGATGAATCTGTGGATGTGTTTGGGTGTTTCGATGAGTTCAAGCTTTTATCATTCCCCCCTCACTCCTTCACACTGCTCTAGAGAGAGTGTAAAAAACACACACAGGTCATAACACATCAATCTCTTGTTCAAACACCTTCAGCGGTCCTCATCACCTGTGCAATCAAGTTCAAACTCCTAGGCATTTCAGGTCCCACACAATCTGCTCCCAGTAGGTTTTTGCATTTTCATTACACACATACATCTGTCCAAATATCCTATACACCTGTCATGTTCCAAGGCAGTGCTGGGGTGGGATGGGAGGCAGGCTTTAGTCTCTTCACCCACAACCTCCCCCAGCACTGCACCTGCTTTCTCTTCCCACCAGATTGTGGCCCCCACATAGACAATCGGAACTGCTAGGATCACATCAGGTGACTTGCCATTTCCCACATGCCATACTCCTTCTGAAGCCACCTCTCACAGCCCAGACTCAAAGTCACCTCTTAAATAGAATCTTTCCTGATTCTCCCTTTTGTGAATAGTATCTCTTTCCTCTCAGAGACTATAACTTCCCTTTTAGTTTATACAGTGGTTTACTTTGTACTTGAGTTGGTTTTCATGCCTGCCTCTCTCAATAGCTAGAAACTCTTGAGAAGAGAGGGAAGGGAAAACACAATCACGAGTCATCTTTGTGTCACTCATCACCCCATACATGGTTCTTTACTCAGGAGCCTCTCAGAAGAGGTTCTTAATTGAATTACAATAAACTCTTAAAGGTAAATAAAAATATTTGTAATCAACTATCAGTGTTTATGACATCGTGGTGGAATGAGAAGGAGCAAACCTTCAGTAGAATCTGTGCCTTGTGGGAAGTGACGGTGAGTCTCCCAGTCTCAAAGTTTCTTCCTTCCTTACGGCCTCAGTGAGAATCGGAAGAAGTGAGAACTGGGCCCAGTTTCCCGGCTTTAGGAACAACACCACCATATTTACTTCTATCCTTTGCCTCCCTACTTCCTAATATTTTTCTTCCTGCATTGTACTTTCATTTTATTTTCAAATATTTCTTGGTAGCAAAAGAATAGTTTTAAAATGAATTGGATATTATTATATTGCAGTACCTAAACTATTAATAATTTTTACAGAAAAAGTGATACTAGTATCCCATCTGTACGACCTCCAGGAATCCAAGTTCCACGGAGTGGTAAGGGTTACTTTGCCTTTGTGCTAATCGTTGGGTTTAGGTTACACAAACTTCTTCAGTAGTTATAATCACCTGGGATTGCCATTGCTACTTACAGCTGCCTAACAGATGTTAATTGGGTAGAGTGTGTCAAGTTCTGGTGGTTACACATTGTCTATAATTTGATTTTGTACTTCATTTTACTAAAATGCAGACAGGCTGAACGGGCTAGAAAATATCAAGTATCAGAAAATGCTCTTACAAAGAAGTAAAAGGTGTTGTTCTTCAAGGGTATAAGGATGGTTCAGTCTATCAAAATATTTGGTTTTGATATCATATCTTGATTAATATCAAATAATTATGGAGGGAGTTTGGTTTTGTGAAAAATCATGAGCCATGAGAAAGATTTGAGTTTTTGTTCCATCAATTATGAGCTCTTCTTAAGAACTAAAACCATCCAAATGATTCAATATTTTAGCAGAAGACTAAATATGGATCCTACAATATTAAATATTGAATATAATATTAGTATTTATTCTTCAGATGATCTTTCTTGTTTAATTCCTTACTTGAGTTTTTAGATTTTGAAATTGCTTCTTAATACTCTCTATTTCACCTTCCAATGTTAATCCTACTTTAATCATCAAAGTTATTCTGATACCTACTAGAGTTTTAGGTCAAATTTAACAATAATTGCTTATGTTCTCTGTACATTTTACAGCCCATTGCAGCCTCTTTTGTTAGTGTAAAATTATTATGCTTATTTTATAGCAGTTGGAGAATGTGTTTTATTTTATTTTATTGTAGAGGTTTATAGTTGTAGTTTTGCCTTTGTGATATACTGTTGGTTAGGCATCTTATAAACATTTATTGGGTGTTTATTTATTCTAGACAGATGCTGGGGACATACAAATGAAAAGAGTTAGATACAATCCTTCCATTTGAGAAGCTCACATTCGAATAAGGGTAACAGACATGCAAAGAAAGTTTTAGTTTTTGTGATTTATAAGAACCTAAGCATTTTATAAACTTAACCACTAATAAAATCATTATTTCAACGAGAAAAGGATGATCTGTTTTTTTAAACAATTTCCTGTGGGACATTATTTCTAGCTGTATATTGACACTAAAAGTGGGAGGACCATGGGCTTTTGACTCCAAATTCTCAGACTATATCCACTGCTCTACCATGTCTATTAACAACCATATTAACTGAAGAACACTGTCTAGGAACAGAAACATCTGTGTGGTTTTTAGAACGGATCCTTGTCAGGGGATCTCCTTAGAGATTCTAACTCAATATGATGTGACCACAAATTCAACCACATTCTTTCTCATTGAAGCCATCAGCGTTCTCAGTTGCAAACAACAGAAGCCAGCTGTGGCTAATTTAAACAGAAAAGGGACTGACTGGTAGGACTTGAGGCAACTCACAGAATCAATGATAGTTGAAAAACATGCATTTTGTGGAGAAAACATAAAGCCATTATTTCATGAAGAGTCTAAACAGGAAAACAAAAATATTTGCAAACAGGGAATTTGAGAGACTTGGTTACACAGAAGATGGGAGAGGTGAGAACTCCAACTGAAGAAGGTGAGACAGCTCCGAGATTCATAACAGCGGTAAGCTTTTTCCACCCCTGGACTGGAAGCAAAAGGAGAGGAGGAAGTGTTATCAGATCCTGGGGACCAGGGTCACCTGGCAGAAGTTAGAACCGTGGCAGGCCAGCCTGACAGTGGCTAGAACCATGGAGGAGGTGCAGTGGTGGCTGGGGACTCTGCTGAAGACAAAGAGGGAAGAGGCTTCTTCCTTCTTCCTACTCTCCAGTCTCCTGCTAGTGTCCCTGACTGGTCAAACCTAGCTGGAATCTGGCTGAGCCAGGAGGCTAGGAAGGCTCAGGAAGCCCCACAGGGACACTGAGCAGCGCAGGGGAATGGTGAGACATGTACCTGAGGGCAAACAAGCCCAGAGCTAGCCCATGTTTGCACGAATCCAGGTTTTGATGTTAACTTACTGGGGGAGTTTGGGTAAGTCATTTAACTCCTCAGGCTTTACTCCCTTCACAGTAAAATGGCAATGCTGGGCCAGCATGTCTACTGTTGACAAATCCTGGCCAGTCCCTGAGTTGCCTCCCATTTTACCTTAGAATTGTTTCTATATTAGGAAAACATAATTCATATTCATAGGTAGATAGATAGAAAGATTTTATATTTTTTTTTGCAACTTCACACTATTAAATCTGTGAAGTGATTTTTGCTTCACATTTACATGAATCTAAAATATACGAAATTGCCATTTTGGCATGGTTTTTTTCAAATTCAGCCAAACAGCGCAGGAAGATATGTTCCCGCACTTGCATATCCACCTTAGGTAGATTCTTTTTTTCATAGAAAAAAAAAAATACCATTGTAACAGTTTTTAATGGGTATTGTGAATGGTGGTTGTGGGAGACCATTTTTTCAATTGAAAAAGATGGTTTTTTTTTTTTTTTTTTTTGAGACATGGTTTTTCTCTGTCACCCAGGCTGGAGTGCAGTGGCATGATCATGGCTCACTGCAACCTCGAGCTCCTGGGCTCAACCAATCCTCTTACCTTGGCCTCCCAAGTAGCTGGAACTGCAGGTATGGACCACTACACCCAGCTTATTTTTTTGTTTTTTGTATTTTTTGTAGAGACGGGGTTTTACCATGTTGCCCAAGCTGGTCTCAAACTCCTGGGCTCAAGTGCTCCACTCGCCTTGGCCTCCCAAAGTGCTGAAATTACAGGCATAAGCCACCATGCCAGGCCAAGATGGGTTATTTCTAATTCATGGGAAGCCAGCTGAACAACCTGTTTCCTTCTCCTCCATCAAAATATGTGAGGTTTGCCATGAGACGACAAACAAGGCCTGTAGAGAATTTATGACCAATGTCTGGAGACACTGAGTTCCAAAAGAACTTTTCCTTTGCCTTTAGTGGTTGATTTATTTAAGGTGGTTTAGAATCTTGCTTCTACCTAGAATGCAGAAAGCTGGAAAGAATGTTTCTTTTACCCTAACCATAAGAAAAAGTGAAATAAATAACAAAATCACAACCTTTCTTGTGCCTGTCAGAGAGCAGAGGTAGCACATCAAATAGCCTGAAATCTAAAGACAGACCAACCCATTTCCCCCGAGGGGGATGGGATATGCACATACGGTTTAGACTGTGGCTTTCGCCTGTGGCAGGCAGAACTTTCCTGCAAGCAGAAGAAAAAGTGAAAGAGGATAGAACAAAAAAAAAATTTGGAGAGATAATAGCTGAGATTTTCCAAAATTAATGAAAGATTCAGGAAGCTCAGAGAACCTCAAGCAAAATTAAAACCCAAACCAAGCAAAAGCAAAACAAAATCTTTAAAACAAAAAGCAAAACATAAACAAAACTTACACCTAGACACATCATTTCCAAACTGCAAAAACCAAATAAATCAGCAAGTAGCCCAAGAAAAAGAGACAATTACATACAGAGGAACAAAGATAAGAATCACAGCAGACTTCTCATTAGAAAAATGTAAGTCAAAGGACAATTGAGTGACATATTTAAAGTACTGAGGAAAAAAATATATATATAATTGTTGGCCCAGAATTCTATATGGTGAAAAAAAATATCTTCCAAAAATGAAGGAAAAATAAACACTTTTTTCCAGATAAACAAAAACAGGGAATTTACAGTAGACTTGTGCTACAAGAAATATTAAAGGTAGTTTTAAGCCAGGAGAAATAGGATATCAGACAGAAATGTGGATCTACACGAAATAGTTCAGAGAGAGTGATTCACCTAGAGTACTTGGAGAAATAAACACAAATTCCCTCCCAAAGGATGTGCCCTCAACTGGCAATATGGCAGTGCTGCTACCCACAGTATGGCAAAGTGGGTCACTTGAAAACCCTCCCACCAGAAAATACCTAGAAAGACTGGATAAAAGATAATGTAAATAAATGCATAAATGAGCATGCACAAAAATAAGAAAAACTCATACCATTCCAAAACAAAGAGGAACCTAAGAACCACAGCAGTAAGCCACTGAGCTAATGATAGGTCTGCCCTGGGTTCCCAGTAGCCCAGAAGCCTGGGTTTTTAATAGCCCTGCTGGAGCCGGAGACAAGGCCTCACAATGGTCAAGTTAGGGGACTGGTACCAGATCCCCGTATAAACCTGAGAAATGTGAAGGACTCCCCAAACACACTCCCATCAGCAAAAGAAAAAGTGTGTATCTGAGTTTTTAATTAAAGGAACAAAGTTTCTCTAGGACATTCATAACTTGAACTTGTGTCTTATGAAGGTGTGGGATTTGCATATGAGCTATCAGTCCAGGAACTCCTAAGGTAGGAAATTACCAAAAGAGTACTCCATGGTAGCCTAACTTTTGGGAATCAAGTAGAAGCAAATTCTAATCCCTTTTGGACAAATGAGTCATTAAGTCAGCAAAGGATGCCACAGATAATGCCCTTCTGAAAGAGAACTTAAATCCAGTATATACACACTACTTTTTAAAAACAGAACTTAAATCCAGTATATACATACCACTTTTTATAGAAAAGAACTTGAACCCCTGCTTCCTGTCTTCCCAAGCTGGTTGTTCTTTTTAAGACCCCACTGGTCAGCCACTTGCTCTCATGCCCCAAAACAAATCCTTCTTTCCCATCTTATAAGAGAGGTCCTTGAGAGATGGGGTTGTTTCATCATTCTTATACCAGCAGTCCCCAACCTTTTTGGCACCAGAGACTAGTTTCATGGAAGGCAATTTTTCCACAGATTGGGGGTGGGGTGGATATTTTCAGGATGATTCAAGCACATTACATTTATTGCACACATTATTTCTATCTTATTACATTGTAATATATAATGAAATGATTACACAACTCACCATAATGTAGATCAGTGGAAGCCCTGAGCTTGTTTTCCTGCAACTAGACGTTCCCATCTGGGGGTGATGGGAGACAGTGACAGATCACTGGGCATTAGGAGCATGCAACCTAGATCTCTTACACGCACAGTTCACAATAGGGTGTGTGCTCCTATGAGAATCTAATGCCGCGGCTGATCTGACAGGAGGCGGAGCTCAGGCGGTAATGCTAGTGATGGGGAGCAGCTGTAAATACAGATAAAGCTTTGCTCTCTTGTCCACCACTCACCTCCTGCTGTGCAGCCTGATTCCTAAAAGGCCACGGACTGGACCGGTACCAGTTCATGGCCCGGGGGTTGGGGACACCTGCTTTATACTGTCCCATGGTGTCTACACTGTGGTTAGTCCACAAATACTCAGATTAAAATCCAGCTCTATCACTTACTAGCTCTGTGCTCTTCAGGAAATGATGTGACCTCTCTATCCCTCGGTTTTCTCATCCTCCAAAGCCAGCAACAGCAGATTGAGTCCCTCTCACAGCTCACCACGCTGAACTCTTCTGCTTCCTTCTTCTATTTTTAAAAGCCCTTGTTGGTTACACTGGGCTCATCCAGTGAATCCAGGATTATCTCCCAATTTTAACATTAGCTGATCAGCAAATTTAATTATATCTGCAATATTAATTCCCCTTTGCCATACAACATGATACAGTCACAGGTTCTGGGGATTAGGATATGGACATGTCTGGAGAGCCATCATTCTGTCTACCACACTGGCCATAGCTCATTTGAAGGAAAAAGAAAAGAGCAAACACCGATTATACAGCACTTGATATATACCAGCAGTTTCTGTTGATTATCCCAACAACCTTATGAAGTGGCTGGTATACTTTTCCCCATTTTTCAGAGAAGAAAACTGAGGGCCATGAGCCAAGGAATGTGGGTGGCCCCTAGAAACTGGAAAAGGCAAAGAAATGTACTCTCCCCTCAAGCCTCCAGAAGGGAATGCAGCCCTGCTCTCACTTTGATTTTAGCCCAGTGCAACTTCTGACCCACTGAAAAGTAAGATAATAAATTTGTGTTGTTTTAAGCTACTGAGTTTGTGACAATTTGTTACAATGGCAACAGAAAACTAATCAAGCCAGTTATAAAAATTCTCAGTCAAGACAAATTTATTTCTATATTCTCATGGGCCATTCTCTGTACTAAAAGAAGGACTTTTATCCAGCATTTTGAAGAACCAAAAAGAGGATTTAGTATAATATGGATATAAGATATTAAACCTTGAATTTTTGTTTCCTCTGAGGATGAAGAGGAAGTCTACCCTACATCAGTGAGGTCTCCCAGCTTTGCAACTGAAGACTGTAACAAGCAATTCCACCCCCCAATGTTATGGTAGCAAATTACTTGAGCTGACTAGATTTAGCTATAATCAATCAAAGACAAGAGCTAAAGGCATGCATACCTACAAGTTTTGATGTGAAATACAGCATTTTTGTTGCCAATGTTTCGTACCAGCAGAATCTTCTGGGTGCTGTATTTGACAGGACAAGTGGAAAAATTCAGCTTGTCAGGAAAATCGAGAATGGCTCGTGCCCCTCTAGCTTTGATGGGTACAATAAACTTTTCTCTTTCAGTAACACAGGTCAACGTATGGGCGTAATCCTACAAGGGAAGGGTATGATCATTATTTGTGGAAAAAGCAACATGATCACGATAACTGTTCAAGAAAAGGGTCGATGAGAGGCATTTTGCAAAACAACTTTTAGTATAGTTCTATGAAAACATCTTAAAACAATTACAGAAGTACTTTCAAATGAGATTGTCTTTTCTGAGAGAGAGAGAGAGAGAGAGAACAGATCTAGTGTTAAAACCTACAGCTGGTAGAGAAGCTATGCTTCATGTGTCTGTCAGGCAATAGGGAGGTAGGATGAAGGTCAGTGGAAGGCCAGGCCCATTTCTCCTGTAGATCCAAGAAGATTCACAACAGTTCCCTCAGGTCCTCCTTCCAAACCCTAGTTCTCCTTCAAGCCCATGTATTAGAATGATGTTTCTTTTTTTTTTTTTTTTTTTTTGAGACAGAGTCTCGCTCTGTCGCCCAGGCTGGAGTGCAGTGGCGCAATCTCTGCTCACTACAAGCTCCGCCTCCCGGGTTCACGCCATTCTCCTGCCTCGGCCTCCCGAGTAGCTGGGACTAGAGGCACCCGCCACCACGCCCGGCTAATTTTTTGTATTTTTAGTAGAGACGGGGTTTCACCATGTTAGCCAGGATGGGTCTTGATATCCTGACCTCGTGATCCGCCTGCCTCGGCCTCCCAAAGTGCTGGGATTACAGGCGTGAGCCACCGCGCCCGGCCGATGTTTCTAACTAATGGCCTCTTTCTGCCTATACTCTTTGCAATGTGACTTTGCAGCTCCTCCATCAAGTAATGAGTCTCCACTCCACTTGCTTTCAGCAATACAAGGTGGCCGAAGTTATGCTATGCCAGTTTCAAGCTGAGACCTCAAGAAGCTTTGGGTCTACCCAGTCTTGTTCTTGGAACCCTGCCAATGGCATGTGAACAAGCCTGGTCCAGCCTACTGCAGGATGTGCACCTGGATGCTCCAACCAAGACCATGCTAGACCAGCCTAGAGCCAGCTGATCCCCAGATATGTGAGCCTAGCCACAATAAGCAGAGTTCCCTACCTGATGAGAGGGCCCAGGCAACACCAGAAAAACCACCCAGCTGAACCACAGTCTTGTGAGCAATAATAAGTGCTTATTATTTTAAGCCACTAAATGTGGGATTGTTTGTAATCATACAGAACTAGCTAACTGATGCGTAAGTCAGTTGAAACCTCACTTCTTGCACAAAGCCATTTCTGACCATTCCAAATAAAAATGCTGAGGCCCTAGGCATCTCTCTTCTCCAGTCATGAGTTTAAATGCAACAGAAATGCTGAATAAAGTCACTCTTTATGCCATCTCATAAGATAGAAATAGCATATTTGCCTGCAATGTAGCAAAGAAAAAGTTAAAAGAAGTCACCATAAAAGGTATCTGATATCTAAAAAAAGCTTTGTTTTCCTTCATTTTCTCATCCTTTTATTGTGTGTTTTAGCTGCAAGGAGTCTTGATTAATGAAAAGTCATTTTGAACAGAAATTTCCTTTTGGTAACCATGTGATAAACGGTAGTAAGTGGTGGAGGTTTTAAAAAAAGCTCTTTTTGGGCTTTGGACATAGAATAAGAATGGGACCATCTGGCATACAAATTGGCATACAGGGCTGGCCACATACTCAACCTCATGAAGCCACAGGACAAGCATAAAGCAGTGGCATCCCCAGTTTATTCATTCAACTATGTTCATTAAGTGCCCAGGTGCCAGCACAGCACTGTGCTAGGTCTAGGAATACAACCAATTAGGAAATGCAGACATGGTCACGGTCCTCCTCCAGCTCACATCAGGATGGAGGAGACAATGAACAGATGAATAAAGGATATGTAATGTACAGTGCAACTCACATATAAATAAATATAAAGCTAAAACTGCCAGGAATGCTCACAAATAGCCTTTACGCCTGTAGTTCTATCTGTCCCCTTGGGCTCCAAACTCATAACCAGCTGCCCAGTCAGCATCTCATTGGATATAAACTTATGTCCCAAACCAAAGCTCCTGATGAATGTCACTGCCTGCTACTGTGCATAAAGATTTCTGCTGAGGGCCAGGAATGGAGGCAAAACAGCTTCAGCCCAAAGGGGGAACCTTTTTCTAGTACCCACAAAGGCTCCACAAAGACAGCTAAGGTCTGACCCTCTCTCCAACTGCAGCATCTCTCCAGCGGTCTGGCTTTAGAACCCTGAAATGAGGCATCCTTTCATGCTCTGTTTCTCAATTTCTTGATACAATCCATAGGATCTACCTTCAAAATATATCCAAACTGTAATCACTCTTCACCACCTCCACCCCCGCCACCCTGGTCCTAGCCACTCCGATCTTTCCCAGGCTAACAGGACTTTCTATTTCAACCGTTGCTCTCCTAAAGTCTATTTTCCACCCAAGGGTCAGAGGGACCCAGTAAAAATGTAAGTCAGCTCAGGCTGCTTCTCCGCTGAAAAGTACCTAGGCTGAGGCTGGCGCACTTGCGAAGGTCCCGTGGTCTGGTGCCCCCATCGTTTCTCTGGCCACATCTCCTCCTCTCCCCTGGTTCCCCCTGCAGCCACAGGTTTCCCCTTCAGAGCCTTTGCACATGATGTTCTCTCCTTCCCTCTACTTATTCATGGTGCTCACCCCCTCACCTCTTCAGCACTTGGCACGGCGATCCACTGTCTCCCCGAGGCCTCCCCTGACTGCCCTATTTTCAATGGAACTCTCCCTCTCCTGCCCCATCACTCCCTTACCTTCTGTCCAGCTTTAGTCTTGCCCAGAGCCATCTAGTATATCGTATATTCTACCTCCCCAGTGAGTGTAGTGCATGTCTCCCCCGTATTTCCATGTCAAGAGGGATTTGCCCATCTTCTTGCCTTCTGTATACCCAGTACCTAGAACAGAGCCTAGTATCTAGCAACTACTCAACAAATACTTCCCAAAGGAAGGAAAGTCGGTAACAGAACATTTGGTAGTGATGAGTGACGGGAAATAAATCATGATATGGGGACAGAGAGACTGGAGAGCTCTTTTACATGGCGTGAGGGGGAGGGGGGCGGTCAGGAAAGGCCTCTATGAGGAGGTGACACTTCAGCAGAGACATGAGTGACAAATGAAGCCATGTGGATGGATGGCTGTCTGGGGGAAGTGTGATTTGGAACCTGTGGCCAGAGGGGAGCAAGGGAAGGAGTGTGGTTAGACACATGGCCAACAGGTTGTGGCGGCCAGATCCCAGAGATCTTGTAAGCCATTGTTAGGACGTGAGAGGGCTGAAGGCATTCCCAAGGCTGAAAGCTGATCTTGATGTAACCTGAGTAACGTTTTAGAAAAAGCGCTGGCTGCTATGTGGGCCACGGACTGCAGCGGGAAGAGGGAGGCCAGTTAGGAAGCCACTGCTATAGTCCAGGCATGAGATGACACAGATGTGGACTTGTGTGGGCAAGTACTTAGCCCAGCATTTAGCAAGTAGTAAGTACTCAATAAATGTTAACTGTCCTTATCAGACTTTTGTATTAAGTACAATTTGTGTAAGGCATATAGGAAAAATTCAACATATGTTTACTCTCGTTGGTAGTGAGCCATCTAGCCATCTATATACTGATAAGGATAATAATAATAGAACAAGATAATTTCAGAAAGTGATGAGGGCTTTGAAGAAAATAAAGCACAGGAAAGTGATAATATCGGATGGGGTTGATTTAGGTTAGAATAACTAAAGAGGTCTTCCTGAGGAGGTGACCTTCGGATGGGGACCTGAACAGCAAAAGGAGCCAGTTGGGTGAGATCTAGGAACAGAGTGCTCCTGCCAAGGGGAACTGCAAACATACAAGTCCTAAGGCAGGAGTGAGTCATAAAAAGGAATAAATAGGATTCAAGAAATTGATTAAAACTGGGTTGCTAGTATATTTTTAAATAAAGAATGTAACTGGATTGTGTGTAACTCAAAGGATAAATGCTTGAGGGGATGAAACCCCATTCTCCATGAGGTGCTTATTTCACATTGCATGCTTACATCAAAACATCTCATGTACCCCATAAATATATATATCTACTGTGTACCCACAAAAATACTTTTTATTTAAAATATATCTTTTAAAATGGCTGGGCGTGGTGGCTCAAGTCTATAATCCCAGCATTTTGAGAGGCTGAGGCAGGTGGATCACTTCAGGCCAGGAGTTCAAGACCAGCCTGGCCAACATGGCAAAACCCAGCCTCTATAAAAATTAGCTGGGCATGGTGGCTCACACCTGTAGTCTCAGCTACTCAGTAAGCTGAGGCAGAGAACTGCTTGAACCCGGGAGATGGAGGCTGCAGTGAGCCGAGATCGCACCACTGCACCCCAGCCTGGGCGACAGAGTGAGACTCTGTCTCAAAAAAATTAATAAATAAATAAAATAAAAACAAAAATAAAAATAAAATTTTAAAAATTGAGTTGTTAGACTGTTAGCTCTGCAAATGATTCTGGTTTCCAGATGGTAATGCCAGACTCAAAACTTATGCTATCTAGACATGAGGAAGCACAAATTGCACTAAGCACACTTGATCTTAGAAAACCCCACATAATTCAACAATGCAACAGCCTAGTCTGATTACTACAGAATCCTAAAGAGATAAGTACTATTTTCGCTTTTTCTTAGGCGATCAAATCCAGCCAGCATATGTTTTTTTGGGAATTATAAACTGAAAAGCCCCTGGCACATGTGGAGACTGAGCATTAACTGAGGCGTTGAGAGCTAGAACAAAAGATGCTGCTGAATCCAGGATAAGAGGAGATCCTGAAGTGTTTGTCTCATTTTATTCTGTACTCACATATCCGCTGCCTTGTTCTAGAAGGAATTAAAGGCAGCTGTAAATAGTTTAGGAGGCTAATTGAAATACTGAGAGAGATGTTTTCAGACCTTTTCAAGTTCCCAAATAAGGAAGGTTTGAAGTTTGATTTGCATTATAAATTTTTTCATAATCAATTCACACACCCATAAAAGAATATAAGGTTCTTTAAACAAGTCCCTTAAAATGTATTCCAATCTCTGAAGTTATGCACTTAATATGACTATATTAGATCATACATCATTATATATTGCTCTGCTGGCTTACAATTAATTCAGATGTTATGACTAGGGAGGCTCCGATGGCCTGCAGGCTTAAGCAATCACTTCAGTTGATGAACTGAACACCCAGCCTCACAAACCTGCTTTTCCTCCTCTGTTCCCTATCTCTGTAAATGACACCACCATTTGACCAGTTGTTAGCCAAAATCCTACAGTTCAAACTAGGTGCATTTCTTTCTCGTATCATCGATCCATCAGTAAATCCTGGCAGCTGTACAATAAAAGTATACATCCGGCTGGGCACAGTGGCTCATGCCTGTAATCTCAGCGCTTTGGGAGGCTGAGGTGGGTGGATCGCCTGAGGTCAGGAGTTCGGGACCAGCCTGGCCAACATAGTGAAACCCCATCTCTACTAAAAATACAAAAAATTAGTTGGGCGTGGTGGCAGGTGCCTATAATGCCAGCTACTTGGGAGGCTGAGACAGGAGAATAGCTTGAACCCAGGAGGCGGAGGTTGCAGTGAGCAGAGATCACACCATTGCACTCCAGTCTAGGCAACAAGAGCAAAACCCTGCTTCAAAAAAAAAAAAAAAAAAAAGTATACATCCTTACTCCTCCTACTTCTCATCACCTTCACTGTCACCACCCTCATCCAAACTTCCTTATCTTTTACCTGAACTACTATAGTAGCCTCTGCCCCCTGTATGCATCAGGGATCAGTCAGCTACGTTATAAAAGGAAAAAGAGCAAAATCAGAGCAGTTTACACTAGGCAGAAGTTTATTTATCTTATACAAAGAAGTCCAGAGGTAGGTAGGCCAGGTCGGTAGGGTGGCTCAACAGTGTCATCAGAGACTCAAATTCCTAAATTCCTGCTCTACCATTCTAGCATGCAGTTCCCATCCTCGATGTCACCCTGTGGGGCAGAGTAATTCCTGGGACCCAACTCTTTCACAGCCAAGCTGCAGGGCAGAAGGAGGAGGGCAGAAGGGACAGGTCACCTCCTGCTGTTGTCAGCTCTCTTCAACCAGGTGCCTTGGAGTCCTACTCACATCTCATTGGCCGACACTTACATGCAGCTGTAAAGGAGGCTGGGAAATGTAATTTCTTATTTCAGGCAGAAATGTCCAATCAAAATTTGTGGTTCTCCCTGTACACTGATGATGGGAATGTAAATTAGTACAGCCATTATGGAAGACAGTATGGCAGTTCATCAAAAAATTAAAAATAGAACTACCATATGATCTAGCAATTCCACTTCTGGGTATATATCCAAAGGAAATGAAATCAGTATGTGGAAGAGCTACCTGAACCCCCATGTTCACTGCAGCATTATTCACGATAGCCAACATGTTGAATCAACCCAAGTGTCCATCAATGGATGAACATACAAAGAAAATGTAGGCTGGGCACAGCGGCTCATGCCTGTAATCCTAGTACTTTGGGAGGCTAAGATGGGCAGATCACTTGAGCTCAGGAGTTCGAGACCAGCCTGGACAACGTGGAGAAACCCCATCTCTACCAAAAATAAAATTTAAAAAAATTAGCTGGGCATGGTGGCGGGTGCCTATAATCCCAGCTACTAGGGAGGCTGAGGTGGGAGGATTGTTTGAGCCTGGGAGGTAGAGGCTGCAGTGAGCTGAGATTGCCCCACAGCACTCCAGCCTGGGCAACAGAGTGAGACTCTGTTAAAAAGAAAAAGAAAAGAAAATGTGGCATATATATACAATGGAATACTATGTAATCTTAAAAAAGAAGGAAATTCCATCATTTGTGACAACATGGATGAAACTGAGGCAATTATGCTAAGTAAAATAAGCCAGGCATAAGAGGTACAAATACTACGTGATCTGACTTATATGTGGAATCTAAAACAGTCAAATGCATAGAAGCAGAGAGTAGAACAGTGATTCCCAGGGACTGGGGTTGGAGAATTGGGGGATGCTGGTCAGAGGGTACAAAATTTCAGTTAGACAAGGAGAAGTTCAGGAGACCTATTATACAACATGGTTAATAACCATGTATTGTAAAATTGAAAATTGCTAAGAAAGCAGATTTTAAATGTTCTCACTACAAAAAAAATTATAAGTATGTGAGGTAATGTATATATTAATTAGATAATGTATATATTAATTAGCTTTATTTAGCCATTCCAATGTGTATATATATTAAAACCTCATGTTGAACACCACAAATATATACAATTTTTGTCAATTACAAATAATTATTTTTTTAAATTGTGGTTCTCTTACCAATGAGGAAAGAGAAAATGAATGTCAAGGGGAGGCTACTAGCGGTGATGCCTCACGTGGCCCTGCTTCAGCCTATTCTCTACTTGGTAGCCAGAGTGGTCCTAAAATGTAAGTCAGATTGTGTCATCCCTAATCACAACCCATCAGGCTGGATAAAAGGAGAGGATCAAGCATTTCTCCTATCTTTCCTGAATGGACTATACCTCAGGGGAGCTGAAAAGCTGGTGAGGGAAAGTTTTGGTTTTGTTGTTGTTATTGTTTTTAGAATAATTCCAACCAGTAAGTGCAAAATAAATTATGGAATTAGAAACTTAACCCTCAGTGATGTAGGGAATGATCTTTATTGGATCATTACAAAAACAAAATAAAACATAACAGACATTTTGTGCCTCTTGATATAATGCACTAGGAAGTACCACATCACCTGTGAAGGATTCTTGATCAAAAAGAAAAAATTGAATCTAATCAAGGCTATAGATCTAACTATCAGTTACAGGCAACAGGCAGCAAGGGGCCATTCTAAACAACGTGATAGGAATGCAATCAGCAAACCTTGTCTGGATCTTGATTTAAGAAAACCAACTTTAAAAAAAAACAAACTTTTTCTTAATTGTGAACCATTGTTGCACTTGGTATGCAATGGTTTTTTTAAAAACCAACTTCTTAAAGTTGGTTTTCTTAAATCAAGATCCAAACTACTGACTGGATATGTAATGATATTAAGGAGTGACTGTGGTTTTTTAGGCACAATCATGGTACTGTGGTTATGCTAACTTTTAAAAAGGCCCTTATCTTTAAGAGAAAAATCACAAAATATTTACAGATGAAATTACATGCTGTATGGGACTTGCTTCAAAATCTACTGGGGGAAGGGGCAGGACAGATGAAGCCAGACTGGTCATGCGCTGAGATTTGAAAAGGTGGGTGATGACAGCAGAAAGTAGAAAGACACTCTGCTGTTCTTTCTACTTTTGCATATGAGGAAAAGAAAGCCTTCCATAATAAAAATATTTGAAGTACTTTATGGTGGCTTCCTATCCCACTTTGCATGGCTTCTAAGATCCTTCATGAGCTCACCTGCTGGAATCTCATTTCCTACCATGTTTCCAACAGCTTCCTCTGCTCCAGCCCCACTGGCCTTCTCGTACTTTCCCGAGCTGGCTGCCAAGCGTGTTTCTGCCACAAGGCCTTTGCACTTGCTGTTCCCGCTCCTAGACAGCCCTTCCCTCAGATATTTGCACGGCTTAAATTAGTTATCTTAAGTTAGCCCAAATGTCACCTCAACAGGAGAGCCTTCCCTTGACTTTCCTATCAGAGAAGTCTTCCTTGACCTTACTTTTGAAAGAAAGCAGAGCCCTTATCATTCCCTACCCCCTACTATGTCAATTTCTGACATTAAATTGTATATATTTGTTTGTTTGTTTATTCATTGTGAAATGTAAGCTCCATGAAGGCTAAAGCTTGTTCTATTCTCCATTGGATCTGGCTCAGAAAACTGGGCCTGGCACTGAGTAAATGAAATAATATTATTCATTTGTAATCTTTTCTGGGTACTACACTATCAGGAGTTTTTATAAAGAAATTTCCTAAAATCCTTGTTAGCCTTATTATCAAATTACATTTATGAGGTCCATAAAGCTAAAAAGCATGGATGTGACTATCTGGAAATATGAAACAAAATAAAGAGAAACTCTTTTTAGAGAAGACTTCCTAGACATCTTACTGTTAATTGAAGTGACAAAGAAGAAAGTTAATATCTAATATATTCATGACACAAAAAGATAATTGAGCCCTTTTTACATGCTCTTCTCATCTGTAGGCTAACCTCAAGTCAAAGAAACTTCTTTATATTTTCTTAGATTAACTTTTACTTACTTATCTCACTCCACAAATATTTACTGCACCCTTTCTATGTATCAGGCCCTGTGCCAGGTACTGGGGCTACAGGGGTGATCCAGATAGAACTGGGGAGGGCGAATTTCAGGCAGGAGGAAAACAAAATCCTGATCATTATTTTTGCCAACAAAAGTCATTGATTGTGGACAATTTTATGATACTGACATTTAAATTCAAATTGCTGGCAATATAGTTTTATTATTATTGTATACATAGATAACATAGAACATGTTAACATTTTCTACTCTTTTTGGGCTATGGTTTTTAAATTTCATAGTGACAAACTGGAAAAACCATTTTGACAACAAATTAGACATTTTCTTAAACCATAACTGAGCCACCCAGTTGCACCACTGCATGCTTTCTTCAAAGCTTGCTGCCTTTTCCGTATGACAACACATTGCAAACAGATGCTTTCTTAAGTCCAAGGAAGTACTTTGTTTTGCTTTCCCACAAAAGCCTAATATTTTTCTTTCTCATTTTAATGGTAAAGATACAAATTTAAGAGGTCAAGAAAAATGTCAGGCTCTAGAATTTTATAGTGTTATTTTATGATGACACTGGCTATCACATTTCTACAGTATATGATAGGTACACTAGGATTATTAGATTAATAACATATCCAATCATTTTTTTTAAAAAGTCTGAGTGAGGAGAGAGAAGGAAAGCCAAAGTAAATTTGCTGCACCTGTTATCTGGGCATTTGGCATTCTTAACAAGTTCCATCCCTAGGCAGCCAGATTAATAGATGATGGGCGGGAGGGAAATGTAAATTGCATTATCATCTTCGACATGCTAATATACATGGGTACTGAAAATCCAATTGAAAGAGGGCTGGCTTAACTGTGGCATGCTGCAATTTACATATCTTACCATCCAGATGTGAGGAGAGTAAATGAGAATGGAGAGTGTTCACATCAGCAGGGGATAAGAAAGAAAAAAGCATGTACTTTGGCTATCAATTTGGCCAAGTGAAGAAACAGTGACACTTGGTGAAATGAATGACTTTTATTTTTCCTAAAATAAATCTGGCTCTAGTCACTCATTGGCTGCATTCTGGAGCAGCCCGAAAGACAGCATGCCTAACCCTAGCAGGTCATTCTGCGCACTGCCCTGGGGAAATGATGTCTCTAAGGAAGACTTTCCAACAGTGAAAGCGAATGTAGATAACTGACTACGCCATCATCAGTGCTAGCTAGCCAGCAAAATGAGAAAACAACTCTGTCTTTTGAAATAAATTATATAGTTTAGAGCCAAGTCCAACACAAGATCTTAATGTCTCCAAAATTGGACAGCTGAATTTCTCATAGGTAAACATTATCCTCACTATGTCTCCTCAAACATGCATTCAGCTTTTGATAACTTTCAAACATTTAGAAGTAACAGTATAACAACATTTAACTCAGTTAATTTTTTAAATTAGGGGTTTCCCAATAAACATGCAATGCTGGATAAGTGGAACGGTAAGAAGGAATAAAAGAGCTGAGAGTAAGATAAGCAGCTACAAAACACAGTGAAGCAATAATCCTCACCAGAAATGTTAGCATTTCATATTTATAAACTACATAGCAACATATTTTAAATACATTTCAACTATTTCTTTGCAGGATAAACAGTAATAAAATCTCTCTCTTCTTCTAGCTTTTGATTATGGAAAATTTAAAACATGCACAAAGAAGACAGACTAGCATGACAAACCCCCAATGTACCCATCACTCAAATTCAAAAACTCTTAACATTCTATCATTCTGGTTCCCTCTATACCTCTATCCACTCCCTCCCCCTTCTATTGTTATACAGGTTTTTTTAGCTAAAATTTATGTATATACTGAAAAGCACAAATATAAATGTTTTGACAAATGAATTCAGCCACATAATCCTCATGCCAATATAGAACATTCCATCTCCAGAAAGTCTTGTGTATCCCTTTTTCAGTCAGATGAGGTACAGATACAACGATACTTATCCAACAGAAGACCTATTTTCTCCAGCACAGAAAAAAACTAAGGAAAGCCACCTCCTCAAATCCAGCATGCTTTGTATTTCAAGCTGCACAAAGGATTATAATCAGCTTCCTACAAAAATGAGGGTGTAGGAATCTCACACCCACAGTAAATCCAGACCCTGTTCTCCCCACAGACAATATTCAGATATAGAGCCTCCAGAAAAAATGAGGACTTCAACAATATGCAACAAAAAGCCCTACATCTGCAGTTATTTATCTTTTTATTTATTTCAGTAGAACCTCAAACAAAATTGTAGTTTCCTAAACACAACCTAACATATAAATGGTAATACTACAAAGTGGCAAAATTATAGCAATGGTATTATTATAACGGAATTTTTAACCACTCACCACAAGGAGTACATACTTAACAAACCACATTAAATTCTCTATCCTTGCTCTCCAGAAAAGTAGTAACAACAGCAATAGTAGAGGGAATACTGGTAATGATATTGACAGCAGCCGATAGGTACTAGCGGTGGAGAAGCAAGGACTCCAAGCTAGTTCTGTCTGACTCCACTGTGCTCTACTGACTCCAACCATAAGAGTGCAACACAGATAAGCATGCCTGCTATTAACATGATACACAGCCTGCATTTTGTTCTGCATATTTAAGACTTGTTCTCTGTCCTCACTCCTTCAATCATGCTGGTAAAACTCTTCTCCTCCTCCTAAGTCCCCATTTAGGCCCACAGAGAACAAAACCTGACCAACAATTCTACTCCCTGGAGAAGGGGTGGGGAGGAAGCCTCCACCCTCAGGCCCCCATACCTGCTCCTTCTCTCCTAGAAGGAACTGGAATTTCCATGACTGAGGAGAGTGAGATTGGGCTCCATTCCCCTCCCCACCACTGCAGTGGTACTGAGAGAAAATGGCCTCCTTTTTGACTGCAGGCTCTTCTTAGACTGCCTGTGAGCTGATGGGGGTGAGCAGGCCAGGCAGGCCTCTGCTCTCAGCTCTAGCTTTACCATTACTGAGGCTGAAACTATGATATTATCTCTATGTTTGAGTCTTGGATCTCTTTTGCAAACTAGTTAGAATCTGGGGAAGAAAGTCATAACCAATTAAGGCCCCAAACTTCCTAGAAGCCAAAATCTTTATCCTTTGTCTCAGCATTCCTCTCGTGACTACCACCGCCTATACCACCATCAATGACAGCACCACCACCATCTACACCACCATCACCACCACCATCTACACCACCACCACCCACCAACTCTACAAATACTAACATCACCACTACCACCACCATCAGTGACAACAATACCACCACCATCTACACCACCACCACCACTACCACTATCAATGACAACAATATTACCACCAACTACACTACCATACTACTAATACCAATACCATCTACACACACCAGCACCATCACCCACCACTACCCACCAACACTACTAATAGTAACAACACCAGTACCAACATCAATAACACTACCACTACCATCTATACCATCACCACCATCAATGACAACAATATCACCACCATCTATACTACCAACACCAACACTACCACCACTACCCACCACCCTCCAGCACTACCACCAATACCACCAACAACAACAACACAAATGTCAATACCAAGACCACCATCAATACCACCACCACCACCACCACCACCACCAGCACTACCGCCTCTGTAAATATTCAGAATTGAACTGCAATCTGCCAGTACAAGTGTCCAATTTCTTGCCATTCCTGGTATTACCTTGTTCTCCTCTGGAGTAAAGAGGATTCGGAATATGGAAGGCACTCCAGGAGCCACTTTGTGGCCAATATCTTTGGGGCTGATTACTTTAAAGTAAGGCGAACTTTCTTCCACAACTTTCACCAACCTTGGAATCTGCAGGGAAACACATGATGATGAACATCGTGCATGTGAAAAAGCAGAGTTAAACACAGACTGAAATCCATCAACTACTTACTAGACGTGTGACCTTGGTCAGGTCTGAACTTCAGTCTTCTCAACTATAAAAGGAGATGATAGTACTTATCTTTATCCCATACAAAGTAAGCACCCAATACCTTCTAGCTTTCATTTTTATTAACATTATTATTCTTAGTTATTTTTATTATTATTACAAGTCTTTGTTCATTTTAAAATTAAATCATTTAAAAGTGACTATCAGCCAGGCGCAGTGGCTCACCCGTTATCCCAGCATTTTGGGAGGCCGAGGCAGGAGGATCACGAGGTCAGGAGATCAAGACCATCCTGACTAATACAGTGAAACCTCATCTCTACTAAAAATACAAAAAATTAGCCGGGTGTGGTAGCATGTGCCTGTAGTCCCAGCTACTGGGGAGGCTGAGGCAGGAGAATCACTTGAACCCAGGAGGCAGAGGTTCCAGTGAGCCGAGATCGGGCCACTGCACTCCAGCCTGGGAGCAAAGAGCAAGACTCTGTCTCAAAAAAAAAAAAAAAAAAGTGACTATCTTCAAGGGCTCTTTAATCAGCTAAAACCTCACCCACATAATGGAGTTAAGCTGGATTTCCCAACATTTGAGCATTTGAGAACTGCTCTGAGAGAAGTCACACTTCCTGCACCCCTTCAATGGCCCATCTATAGCACATTATATGCCACCTCATCCTCACCATAATCTTTGAGCTTCATTTTGACTCCCATGCTACAGACACTTGTCTACAGTAGTACAGCTCCACCAAGCAAAGGTGCTGGGAGTCAAGTCCCAGCCAAACTCCACCCCACCTCTCCATGGGATGGTCCTGAGTAAACACCACAAAGCAAGAGCAAAGAGCAGCAGGAGATCCCCCAGAGCAGTCTCAGAGCAGCTCCCAACAGCTCCATTCTTTTAAAGTCTTATTCTTCTGCTGGAATCTGAACCCAGATTAGTCTGACTCTGGAGTGTGGGTCCTTATCATTTTAACCCAATTAAAATCACAAGTGTTCTGGCTTATTCTCATCCTCTGTGTGTGAGGGACGGAGACACAAAAGTAATAACCTGACAGGCTCTATCTTTTGTACCCCACGACAGTGAGGAAGCAAATAAAAGGTGAAAGCATTTCTCGGGGCCCCAAATCTCTCCCCATGGTTCTTTATGAAACTGTGAACTAAAGAAGCAGAGGAGCAGGGTCACATCAGCCACCTGGCATGAGGGTCCTGGAGTCACCAGAGGACAAGCCTGCCTCGCCTGGAGAGAACTGTCTGCCTCTTGGTAGCTGGGCGTTCCTAGGATGGGACCCTCTTTCCATGTGGCCAGCACTCTGGCTGCATCTTATCAAGAGATGTTGGTTATCCATGAGAACTGAGTGTCTGGCAGACAAAACTCACACGTGCCCTTTACCCCGACTTGCTATTAAACAACCACTGATGACCATTTCTTGTTTAAGGTCAGAGAGGATGCTTTGGACTGTACCACTTTAGTAGGCTAAAAATACCTCAGCAAGAGTCAAAAAGTAATATAGAAAGGGAAAAGAGAGTCAGAAGTGAGAACTGAACTGCATGAAAAGATAGAGCCCTAATGTCTGTGCAATGCACCTCTTCTTGAGGTCTAGGAACACAATCTTGTGTACCTCCAGTTCTTTTCCTTCCCTTTCATTTCTGACCCATGAGCTTCTCTTACTAATGCTACTGCAGAAAAGAATGAAACAGACCATTTTCTCCAGAGTCTGGCTTTGCTGTCACTAAATCACCCCACTGATCTCTGCAAGGCATCGCTGATTCCCTTAATGAGCTGCTGTACCAAATATAACTGCAAGTCCATTTGCTTTGGATTCTTGCATAGTCTTTACTTAATTTCTATTTTGTCTTATAGCTAGAATTTTTTGTCTCCACATTCTTAGACCCCTGAAAGTATTCCTCCTTGTCTTTATACCCAGATTTCCCATCTCTCCAATGCCTTCCTCCCCATCTGATTACTTTTCACACTCAAGTATGCTTCATGCTGAACTTCTGCATTACTTTCTTTCATTATTGTTAAGTGTCAAGAAACTCTTCAGGCATTTAATATCTTTTCTTGAAATAAACCCTAATTTATCTCTAAAGAAAAAGTCATAAGGCTGAAAAAGAAATCTTCCATTACAATTGCAAAGAGACAAGACATAGACAGTGAGAGAAGCCTTCAAAACTGACTGTAGACAAACTTTGAAGGCTATCTTCTACAGAAAGAAGAAGACAGAAAAAAAGGAAAGGGACCTACATTTTTTAGAAGTGAAAAGAAGGCTTTTAAAAAGGTACAATTTGCAGACTATAAATGCATTGTAAAATACAAATATAAATGCTCGGCCAGGCACGGTGGCTCACGCCTATAATCCCAGCACTTTGGGAGACCGAAGTGGGTGGATCACCTGAGTTCAGGAGCTTGAGAGCAGCCTGACCAACATGGAGAAACCCTGTTTCTACTAAAAATACAAAATTAGTTGCGTGTGGTGGCGCATGCCTGTAGTCCCAGCTACTGGGGAGGCTGAGGCAGGAGAATCGCTTGAACCCAGGAGGCGGAGGTTGCAGTGAGCCGAGATCGTACCATTGCACTCCAGCCTGGGAAACAAGAGTGAAACTCTGTCTCAAAAAAAAAAAAAAAATATATATATATATATATGTATATATATATACACACACACATACATATATATATATACAGACATACATATATATATGCTCAACAATTGCAATTCTCATGAGTAGGGTTTATATCTTGAATTGGGGAAATGATGTCTCTAAGGAAGACTACATAAACATTAATAGTAATTTCCCTATCTTAAATAAAAACCTAGCCCAATTTGTCATACATAAGAACCCCGTGACATTCATCTGGTCAATCCTTTAATCAACAAAAGTTAGTGCACACGTTGGGAGTTCACTACGTGTTAGGCACTGGTTAGGACTCAACATATAGCAACAAACAGACACAGCCTTGTCGTCATTAAGTTTACAATCAAAGAAGATGTTTTCATACTATTTTCCTAAGTCTATCAAATTAAAGAACTTATCAAAGATCCCTCAAGATCTCATTTTACTTTAACCCATTCTCATATATCCTGGAACAGTTCACCCACCCCAGTGAACATACTCACTTTGTCATTGTTCCTCAAAATCAGTGGAACTTCATAGACTTCACAGGGAGTGTAGTTCTGAAATATAATTTCTGATGGAAAGGGCTGGAATAATGCCTGATCCAGGTCAATTCCTGAAAACTTCAGTTGAAAGAGTAAATTATTGTTATAGTCACACATTGACAAAAATGACTGGGGAAGATAAGAAAATACTACGTAGACCTGTGGATATTAAAACTAAACATGGGAAATATTCAAAAAGAAATCCATACCCAAGTACATCATTGTAAAAGCACTAAAACACAGGACAAAAGAATGTGTAAAAGAAACTGGAGGGAAAAATAGAATATTTAACTTTCAAGGAGCAAAAACACATGCCTACTTTTCAACATCACAAGTCAGAAGGCAGAGGAATAAAATTTTTTAAATCCTGAAAAAAAAAAAACAAACCTCTGCAGGCATAGTATTTTTTACCTGGGGAAAGTCCCTTCAAAAACGAAGTTTGAATAAACACATTTTCAGAGAAATAAAAATTGAAAAATGTTGTCACCAACTTCTAAAGGAAATACCAAAGGGTATTCTTTATGGAGAAGAGAATTTCTCTTAGAAGTTCAGAGATGCAGGAAGGAAAGGAGAATAATAAAGGGGTAAATATGTGGTTACTCTAAATGAATTCTCATCATACAAAACAATAATACAAATAACTAGCTTACTAATGGGATGTGTGCCCTGGTTGGGCACTGCACAACAGAACCAAATTGGACTTGGACCCCTCATTTCCTGTTCTATTTTGATTTTAACAAAGTACTTGCTTTTTATTTAACCAACCACTGAGAAGCCAGGTTTGTAAAGTATGACATCATCAAAGTGAATATAGCATCATCCAATGCTGAAACTACGAATTACCCCAAGCTAGTAGCCTGTTTAGCATCCAGTAGATTTTGGGTAGTGCCAGGTTTCCCTTGAAAATTCAGACTATCCAATGATGCCCTGTGAGTTCACGGTTGCGCCCTGGGGCACCTTGGCACACAGTTTGAAAACTGCAGCTGTAAGTATCCATCTTAATAAGTTAGAATAAATAGCAAAATAAATCCAAATAAAGAAAAAAATTGACATGACAAAAACAGGAGAGGAAATTAATGAAATAAAAGTAACTATACTATAAAAACAACAAAGTGAAATTCAGGTCTTTAAAAAGATTAATAAAATTGACAAAATACCTCATGAGTTTGATCAAGAAAATATGACAGAAGGCACAAAGAACAAATAGAAAGAATGGAAATGGGAATATTACAATAGAACCCAAATTCAGTAAAAAAATAATAAATATTATGTCAATAAATGTGAAAATATAGATAAAAATACAAATTCCTAGAAAAATACAATAAAAATGTATCAAAACTGGCACAAGAAGAAACAGAACATCTGAATAGTTCTAAAACTGTTACAGAAATTATATCTGTAAACAAACCCTTTTACAGAGAAAATTCCAAACCCAGATAGCTTTACAAGCAAATTCTACCAAACATAAAAGAAACAACTCAAGTATTATAGAAACTGTCCCAAAGAAAAGAAAAACAAAAAAATGAAATGTTTCCCAACTCAGTCTATAACGTTAGCATAACCTCCTTTATATATCTGAGAAAGACACTAAGGGAAAAGAAAACTATAGGCCAGTCTCATTCATAAACCATAGACAGATAGACAGATAGATGAAAGAAAGAGAAAAAAAATTTGCAAACTGAAACTGAAACTGGCACTATATAAAAACGATAACACATCATGACCAAGTTGGGTTCATCTCAGAAATTCAAGGTTGTTTTAATACTAGAAATCAAACAAGAAGAAACAAAACTGTCATTTTCCCCAGGCAAAGTAATTGCTTATTTCAAAAATTCAAAATAACCTACAAATAAATCATTCTAATAATTCTTTTATTAGAATTAATAAGTGATTTATCAAGGTCATTGAGTACAAGGTCAACATATCAAAACCAATTCTATTTTTAGGTACTAGCAATGAACATTTAGGAAATGAAATTTATAAACAATATTACTTAAAATAGTATCCTAAAATGTAAAACACATAGAAACAAATCCAATGAAAGATGTATAAGACCTTTATCCAGAAACTAAAAACATTATTGTTTTAAGGAATTAAGGAAGACCTTAACTGAAATTAAGGAAGACCTAACTGAATGCAGGAATACACTATTTTCATAAATTAAAAGAAATTTTTTCAGGATGTCAAATACTCCCCAAATTTATCTGAAAATTCAATGCAATACATTAAAAAAAAAAATCCCAGCAGTTTTTTTTTTGAAACAAAAAAGCTGACTGAATTTATACGGAAATGCAAAGGACCAAGAATAGACAAGATACATTCGAAGAACAAGATAGGAGGATTTGCTATATCAGGTAGCACAACATGATAATTATATTATTACATATCATATACTGTTACTTACCACAGTAATGATAATGAGATATTAGCACAAGATTTATCAGAAAAATAAATGTACCAGATTAGAAAGCCCCCAAACCAATTATTAAATATATGGTCACTTGATTTATGACAAAGGTAACACAGCTAATCTACTTCTCACATCTTAGGTTAGTTTTCTTGATTATATAAGTGGAATAATACAGTATATACTCTTTAATTTCTGGCTAATTGAATTTCTGCCATTAAGCAATCAGTCTTAACTACATCATTTCACCATAAGCTCAAAGAGCATAATGGAAAAAAAAGTCAAAGAGCACAAAGCAAATATTTAAGAATGTAAAGAAGTGAGCAGTTAGGAGAGATTAAAAATTCATGTCTTCATTCAATAAATATTGAGTTTCCAACATGTGCCACGTTCTTTTTTGTATGCTGAACATAGTGAACAAAGCCAAAAAAAGCCCTAACCTCATGAAGTTGACATTCTTGAAGCTCAAGCGATCATACAAAAAATATAGAAATACAGAACATAAAGTCAGGTAGTGAAAAGGCTGTGAAAAAAAGCTAAAGCAGGACAAGGAGATGGCAGACTGGGAGGTGGCTGCTCTTTTAGATAGGCAGTCAAGAGAAGGCCTCTCTGAGATGACTTCTAAGTAGAGGTCTGAAGCAAGTCACACTAAGATTTTAGAATAGCACTCCAGTTAGAAGGGAAAGCAAGTGCAAAGTCCTTCAGGTGGAAATTACCTTTGAGTGTCTGAAGAGCAGCATAGGGAAAATTCACTGAGAAGAGACTGAGAGGGAGAAGAGTAGAAGGCAAAGAGGTCCGTGAGGAAGGCAGGACTAGATGGTACAGGACCTTGGAGGTTTTGGCACTGAGTTTAGATTTTATTATATGAGTAATGGGAAGTCACTGGATGGTTTTAAACATGGAAGTAACATGTTCTGATTTACATTTTAAAAAAACATTCTTACTGCTTTGTGATAATGGGGGCAGGGGGAGAACGAGATGGAAGCAGGGAGGCAATTTTGATATTCTAGATAATGGTGGCTTAAACTGGAATGGTGGTGGAGAACATGGTGAGAAGCAGTATGATTAAAGACACATTTGTGAAGGCAGAATTCATAGCACTTATCATTGGATCATAAGATGTAAAATAGAGAGGCATCAGGAATACAACTCCAAAGTGTTTGGTCTAGGAAAACATATAAGTGGGGGTATGAAAAGCAGGAAGAAAGAGACAAAGAGGAAAGATCAGGCTTTTAGAGATGGAATGTAAAGCTACAATTAGATCTTAAATATATTAAGTTTGAGCTGCCAACCATACATTAAGCTGACTATATGATCCAGAGTTCAGGGGATAGACAGTGGCAGGAGATATAAATATAAAAGTAAACAACAAAAAGTAGAATTTAAAGCCTTTTTTCCTAGAAGAAGTCACCTAAGTTGTGAGTTCACAAGAGAAAGAAGTTCAAGTACCAAGTACTGGGAGCTCTAATATTTAGTGATCAGAAATGAGTGAATAATCCAACAAATAAAATAAGCAAAAATCAACCAGTGAAAAGTAGAAAGAAAATCAAATGAGTATGCCATGTCAGATACAAGTGAATAAAAGGGTACAAAAAAGAGATGCTCACTGTATCAAATGCTATGAGACAACATGGAAGCAATATGTTCTGATTTACATTTTAAAGATTACTTTTACTGCTTTGTGATAATGGGGGCAGAGGGAGAATGAGATGGAAATAGGAAGGCTATGTCAGTATTCTAGATAATGGTGGCTTAAACTGGAATGGTGGTGGAGGAAGTGGTGAGAAGCGGGATGATTAAAGAGGTCTGTTGAACCAGGTCTGGTCTGGTAAAAAATGAAGCATAAAAGAAATATATACATAACTCAAAGTAAGGGACACAGAGGATAGCCTAATGAATGTAATGACAATGCAATGGAAATGAACAGAAAGTTAAAAATGAATGAGAGAGGAAATGCAAGCTGTAGAAGGGCAGACAAAGAAGGTCCAACATATTCATCATTGAAAAATGATATGAAAAAAATACTTGATAATTCAAGAAAAACTTTCTAAAAATAAAATAAAGGCGCACAGTACCTCAGGAAAAATGTAGTGTATCCTAATACTGAACTTTAAATAATAACAAACAATCTTTGGGCACATGGGCTAAAAGATTAACTTATGAGGGAGAAATCAGGCTGGCTTCCGACTTCTACATACCATCATTTAAAGTCAGAAGGTCATAGGGAAAATGCCTGCAAAGCTGTTATGAAAATTTGTGGCCCAAGAATTTCATAAGTAACAAATCTGCAGTTCAGTATAAAGGCAAGACACAAATATTATCAAACACATAAAACAAAGAAATACAGTCTTCATAAGCTCTTATTGAAGAAATTAGTAGATGACTGCCACCCATCTAAGAGATAAATGATTAAATCTCAGCATATAAATTAAAAATAACCAACTGAATTAAAGAGGAGAGGAGAGAAAGTGTAAAGTATCTGATTTCCTCATCCTTTATAGCAGAGTCAAAACACATTAAAATACACTAGTAGTACACATGAAAAACTCCTCATAGCCTGTTATGTGTTATGCTTTCAGAAAAGAGGAAATGGTCCTTAATTAGAAGAAATGTCTTGGAAAAGACCATGTTCCCTCCACTCAAATTTGGAGGGTGGTTGTGGGAAACAGACAAAACAATAAAAAGCTAGCAATGCTCAGAACAGTGAAGCTTATGCATATCCTAGACAAAGGAAGCAATGGTGTAGCAGTAACAGCAGACAAGCCTCAAAGACTCATTCTTCATGAGGAACATAACATTGAAAAACTCTCAGGAATTTTCAGAGGAAAATTCTGAGGAACTCTTTGAGAAGAGGTTAATCTCCCCAGCAGCCCAACTATTGGAGGTTCATACCATAATTTGTGCATTAAAAGTAAAGGATATAATTTAAGAAATTAATTAAAAAATAGGAAACCAGACCTTCTATAATCACATGCTCCTAAAGCCTGGAAGGTATGGTTTACATTCGAATATAGAAACATGATAAAATCACTATTCTTTAGAGACAAAAGGATATGTCTGTTACTGGAAATGAGCCAGAATAGACAACGAATGCCTACTTTAATTAACAATTCCAACTCCTTCTTTTCTAGTGGGCAGCTCAGATAAGGAGAGATTACTTGTTACACTAAGACAATAACTTAATTGGGCTTGACTAATATAATTCTTAGAATTACTCCTAACCTGTGTAAACTATAGCGTCAAATAGTATTCAGAAGTAGCTAAGAAAGAAGTATAACTAGTCAAAAGTTATTTTAAAAGAGGTTTGCACTTGCAGTCTTCACCATACCAAATCACAGATATGAAGACATTCAGAGGCAGAAAAGGAGGATTGAAAACAAACCCAATAAAGGATTAGGTAGCCAAGAAACAAATTTTACTTATTGTTCTGGAATTTTGGTGTTGTGCCAGGGCCCACTTTATATGTAAGTACGACAGAGAGCAGCTACCTTCTGATGTGTTGTTTCCCCCATATCTAAGAGTTCGATGATCTGTGGTCGGCACATCAAACGTGTTTTTGCCAGTCTCTGCTCGGTGGTCAGGGACATTTCCTTCAGGAACTCTGAGGGTGTAAGCTAGAATGTAAAACAATAAGAACCAAAGATTCTTAAGTGGATGTACTGAAAAAGTGTTTTCATAAGTACCAGTAATGAATAATTTGTGTTTGCAGCTTTCAGGATAATTCTGGAATGCCACTAAGTTCCCTTATAAAATATTTAAAATAAGTAAATTATATAAGAGAAGTACCCACGCACTTTTGAGGTCTTTGCACGGTAATTGAAAATGACATGTGTTTGCTGTTTCCTTATGATTTTGAAGGAATCACACAAAAGAACCTGAGAGAAAAAAGTCAAGAAATTGCACAGGAACATGTCCAAAGAGCTTAACATTTATGCTCAGAAGAGGCATCTGTGCATAAAACTCTCAGTTTGTAAAGTCACTCAAGGGCTTCAAAAACCAGGAGTTTGAAATACCTCTATTTCTCAACTAACATTACAATATGCAAACAAAGCTTTTGGGTGTTTAACTATGATATGATGTTAGAGAGAAATCTTATAAAATTGCAAAGATCTAGGAAGTGTGACTACATCACTTAGGAATGAGTTTGAACTTTAGAGACATCACAAGGGTGCATTTAGACCTCGCTTTGAAAGAGCTCTGAGCTAATCAGCAGATCCCACAGCCAGTCACATTCACACACCCCAGTAAGAACACAAAATGCTTTTACCCTTTCCAATGTTATGAGAAAAAAAAAGTAACCTAGCATTTAAATAAAACTAACCCAACAAGGGATTAGTTACCCAGAACCAATGTTATTGTGGTTCTAGAATGTTCCTACTATATGTGCAGGGAGATTATGATCATTGGCAGCTACACAATGCTCAAGTATATGCCAAGATTTTTACAAAACATTTGAGGGTATATAACTTAGCTGCTTTATGTTGCCTTGGGTTAAACACAATGTACTTTAAAAATGCTTATTTTTCTACAAATTTTATTTCTGTGATTTAATCCATTTAAATGAAGGTATATTTCTAATACAGCTTTCAACTTGGTTAAGATCTTTTTGATTGGAACCCAGATAAGGACAATAAAATGTTAAGAGGTGTCAGCTATATTGTGATTTAAATTAAAATAATTAGGTCTTAAAAGCAAAATGCCAGGAGTTTCTTTAAATATGTACCAACAACCATCACAAAAGAGAATAATGATTGATTTTATTTCTCTAATTGGAATGTAACTTAAGATTAGTTTTTAAAATGTAGTGAATACTATCCCTGGCACTATACATTTTTACTAATATTTTCTACAGCATGTGGTTCATAAATTATCACCAATCATTATAAATAATTAAAGCTATAAATATGTTTTATTTTAAAGAACAGGAAAAATACCTATTTTTCTTAAATACCACTTAGTCATTATTTTAATGCTCTGTGTTCTATAAATATACAAACAAAAATTACTCTTGCCAATCGGTAGGTAGTAAATAATTAGGTTGAATCCTATGAAATTCTGATATTTGACTGTTTTTGAACTAAACAAATGACAGTTTGTCATGGTGCTACCTAATATTTAGAAAATCTTAATAGTTCATTTGTAAAGTCTCACTTCAACTGATTAGTTTAAGCAAATCAAGCCTCTACTTTGAAGTATGTATGCAATTTCAAAACTTCTCAGGCTTTAAAAGGTATCTACACTCTGCAGAAAGCTACCATTATAACTAAATTGATATTAATCAGTCAGTAATTCTGTTTGGCATTCTGAGAATGCCAAGTAGCAACTGTCATTCTCCTAAGGAGATTGCATTAAGTATTTTACATATTAATTCCCGGATACATTACCATTCGGTTTACTTCTTCTTCTGTAACCACCTTTGGACTCAGGGGTGGCAAAACCTTGCTTTGAAATCCTTTGAACATATTGACCAATCCCATCTGAACAGCCCCCATGGACTCCTCAAGTCTTCTACTTGTCATTTTTAGTAATTTTTTTTTCTCACCTAAGAGTGAAACAAAAATGTCTTAGAACAAATACAGTTAATTCCTGAATACAGGTCATAATTTTTTTTAAGCTTTTTCAAATACAGGAAGGTTTAGAAAATACTGATCTTCCGAAATCCAAATGCTTGGAACAAATATCTCAACAAAGGATTCTATTCCATATAACTAGATTTATCCTTCTCCCAAGATCTAGAATCTATTTTAGACAAAATAAGGGATTCTAGACTAAGCTCAGGAAGACATGGAAGTACAAGTTACTTCTACATTTTGCCCCTTTTATCTTCCCAATGAGAAAAACAAACACTGCCCAATAAACATACTAAATAGTTTGATAATTTATCTACATATTTGAAAGCGCTCTCTTAGGAGAATCGACCCTTCAAACAGAATAAATACAAGGTTACAGGGCTTCACAGCTGGACAGAGATTCGAAATAGCATGAGATAAGACAGGCAAAGGAAAGTTCTGGGAAAAGTTTTAAAGCTTATAGTCATAAATAAGCCAGTGAATAGCCACCCAATATCTCTGAATCAAAGAAATATGGCATCTCCCTTTTGCATATTCTTGCTCAGACTTCTGGTAGAACACTTGCAACTTCAGAAAACCATCTATGACTAGGTAGGGATTTCTATTTTTATTGATAGCAGGCTAGGTTATCCAATCATTGTGCTAAAAAAGAGAACTAAAAATTATTGATAAAATATCAAATTAAAAACCCTAAAACCATTAAAAACAAACAAACAAACAAACAAACAAAAACCTCACAAGACAGTAAGGAAGTACCAGACCAAGACATAGGAAGAAGAGCTATATAAAGGAAAGTAGATTTGAAGGAAAATGTAATAAGGCACACTGAAATAAAGCAGTAAAACACCCAAGGAAATGAATATGAAATTTTAAAAAAGGAAAAAGGGGTCATTATGGCAGAAAGCCTCTAAGATGGCAATCAATGAAACAGAAGACAGTCAAGGAAGATCCACCATGCTATAATTGGAGCTCCTTAAGAAGAGAATAAAGTAATGGAATGAAACTAATATTGCCCTACCTTTGGACAAGCTGATAAGAAAGCTCAGGTGTTCCTTCCTTTGGTTCCAGTGGAAAGTTCAAACAACACAAGGCCCAGACTGCGTAAGAACTATTATTATAGCCCCACCCTTAACCACAATAAAAGCCAAACCAGTATCTTTTCCCTATTCTCAAGTTATTTATTTTTTTTAAATACTTCTTCCCAAGAAGAGGATTTCTATCTTTTTCCCCCCGCCCTAGGTTTTTGCTATGTTGACCAGGCTGGTCTTGAACACCTAGGCTCAAGCAATCCTCCAACCTAGGCCTCCCAAGCAGCTGGCACTACTGGATTCAAGCTATTTTTGAACCTGTTTGGGAGCCTGCCCTGCTCTCACAGAAAGCCTCATTATGTGAACCATAACCTTTTCATATCTTCTAGGCGCATGAGTGGCATCACCAATCTTGACATCCAAACCAAATTTTGGTTGGGGAGCCCATTCTATCACAGCTGGGTAGTGACAACAACAGAAGCAATAAAAAAGCAAAGATTGTGGTCTTGATTTTAAGACAGATTTTTAAAAAATCATTAACAACACAAAGAAGAATATTTTAGAGTGTGAAACACCATAATTCAAAATGATGATGTAACAGTTATTATTATCTATGCACCAAAATAGCACAAAAACCATCCATATAAAGCAGAAATTATGGGAGATGCAAGGAAAAACAAATACACAAATAACAGGAGATTTTAATAAACTACTCTTAGTAAGACCTGTTAGGTGGACAAAAAATAAGTAAGACCATAAAAGATTTGAATGACATAACACATTAAATAGGTTTAGGAATATGTATCAAACACTACATCCTAGTAATAGAAAATATGCCTCCTCAATAGCAAATAGAATGGTGACAAAAATTTGGTTATATATTAAAAGTATAATACCAAAGAAAATACCAGTGGTTCTATAATCTAGAAATATTAGAAGCAACAGTCTGATCATAATACAACAAAGCTAGAAACTTAAAAACAAAACAAAGAAACAGGAAGGTCCATTCTCCTGGAAATTTTAAAGTCTTCTATTAAAGGACAACAAAGTAAAAATTCATGAAAGGAAGAAACTACATTATCCTTTTTGATTATATGATTACAGTTACAAAGAGCTAAAAATATGGTGTTATAAAATATCTAGCAAAGTTACATATGCATGTACATCTGACTCAGCAATCCCTATTCTAGGAATCTATCCAAATGATACACTAGCTAAAATATGAAACGATACATAAACCAGTAACAGTGGTTACCTACAGAAGGAGTAAAGGAACAGGGTAGAGGAGATAGGAATGAAAGAGAGATTTCTCTGAATGTACCTCACTATACAGTGTTGATTTTGAACCATGTAAGTGTTTTACATATCAAAAATGAAAAAAGAAACGGGAAAATCAATTCTTAAAAATAAAAAAGAAACTGAAACAAATGAACCTTGCTGTACATCCAGCTGGTGTCATAACCACAGAGAGAAAACAATTATTCCAACCAACCTTAAAACATAATATTTTTGGCTGGGCGTAGTGGCTCACACCCGTAATCTCAGCACTTTGGGAGGCCGAGGCAGGCGGATCACGCGGTCAGGAGATTGAGACCATCCTGGCTAACACAGTGAAACCCTGCCTCTACTAAAAATACAAAAAATTAGCTAGGCATAGTGGCACGTGCCTGTAGTCCCAATTACTCAGGAGGCTGAGGCAGGAGAATCACTTGAACCTGAGGAGTGGAGGTTGCAGTGAGCCGTGATGGCGCCACTACACTCTAGCCTGGGCAACACAGCAAGACTCTGCCTCAAAAAAAAAAAAAAAACAAACAACAATATTTTGACTGTATTCTCAATGAGATATGCTGTCAAAACACAGAGAAGAGCCGAGAAATCTTATCATTTATCCAGTAGTCTTGCTGTTGGTCATGATATTAGTAATAATATTTTTAAAACAAATAAGTAGCTACATCAATATAGTTAGGAACCAAGCATTTCAGTATTTTTAAAAGTATAAACGAAGAAAAGTTTTTATATTAAGAAACCCTATAATCTTAACATTTAAATTGAAAATAAATACAAGCTTGCGATGATTTTCTCTTTTTAAATAATCTGCCCACTGAAAAAGCCCATAAGCAATGAAAGTCCGGTGGCAATGACAGCGCAGAGACCTGGATTGTAGTATTCAAACACCATTTACCACTAACAGAAATCACAACTCCTTGGAGAAATGGGTAATTTGAGGACAAGGGTACAAAATGTATACAGTGAACTTGGCACATTGTCTCATACCATAAAACAAGAACGTTATCAAGAGCTACCAGGGTTGTCAGGGATCCAGAGCAACTTGAAAGCATTCCCATTAACCAAAGATGAGACAATTTGAGCATAAAAAAAAAAAAGTCGGCAATAGATCCGTTCTTTTAAATCTAAATTTAAATGATACTTTAAAAAAATAATTGGTCACCTTTGGAAGTTGCTAAAGCACCAAACTAATTATTTTGGAAATAATAAAAGGAAAGAACCATTTATTTTGCACTATTTTAGTATAAATTGCATTGTTGGTTAACCAAATAGTTGATGAAAGAAAATTACTCTTTATAAAAGAGAATTCCAACTAATAAATGCAGAAAAATCACAGAAAAATAATTACCATTTTGCAGCCCCTAATGAAATGAAGGATCTTCAGTGCTAAAATAATTAGGTAAGATGTTGCTGAAGAACCTGACAATGGCTCAATCAGGCTGACAACACCGGAGTCCTCTAAATTAATCTTAACACTAAAAGAGTAAAACACAGGCATTATGTGCCTCCTGATGTGACGCAGTACACAGCACCACTTATGTAGTGTTATTGACAGAAATCTAAGCCTCCGACCTACCAGCCCAATTGCAGGAGATAGAGGGAAAGAGGAACATGTATGTTCTGTAAGAATACAATTAATCTAAATCCAGGATGTGAAAAATGTTATAGGAAAATGACTCAGTTTATTCACAATAAACATAGCATGAAAGAGAGAGGAGCAGGAGAGAAGGGTGAGAAGGAGAAAAGAAGGGAAGGAGAGAGAGAAGTTACGAATTAAAAGAGTCTTACACCAACCAAATACAAGAGTAGACCTTGTTTGGATTATGATTTTAAAAACTGAATAATGGATGATATAAAATAATTACTGCTCATCAGATTAAACATTTTTATTTTAAATTCATTAACTAATACTCCTATCAAACTATACCCATTCCAAAAAATTAGTGTTGCTATTGTTGTTGTTATTTGCTAAGTATGTCAATAAACATAAAATAGTTTTTAAAATCATCGTTTGTTTTGTTGAGAAGGATAACAGCATTATGGGTCTGATTTTTTGTAAAAGTTATTATCTGATATTTAGTGAATTATTTACAGGTAAAAATAAATATTGTCTGAGATATACTTTAAAATACTACAGGAAAAAATGCGCGTGTTTGCGTTTACCTAGGTAACAAACCTGTGTATCCTGGACATGTACCCCAGAACTTAAAAAAAAAATTGAAAAATTTAAGAAAAGGCTGTTATAACCAGCAAAACCCTAACACTGGTCAATCCAGCTGTTCCAGTCCTCTACTACACCCAGGCTGTTAGGACTGCCAGAGAAAACCACACAGCAGCCTAGACTCACAACCTTGCAAATTCAGTGTCTGCAGCCTCTGCTGGGCCCCTTAGACCACCTCATCTGTTTCCTTTATTAGCTCTCTTCCCGGCAGCTATTTCTCTTCCTGCCATTCTAGAGGGTTTATCCCACTCAGATCTCTTCTGATTTCCAGCTCCACCGACCCAGCTGCCTACAAGATGCTTCCACTTAGGGTGTCCACAGGCACCTCAAGCTCAGCATGTTCCCCCAGCTCTGCTTTCTCCTATATTCCCTCTGTGAATGAATTATCATTCACACAATTGCCCATATCCCAAGTGTAGGCATCACCTATGACTTCTCTTTCCTCAAATTAACCATATAACACATACTTGTGGACTACTTACTATGTGCCTGACAATGTTCCAAGCATTATATGTTTTAGTTACTTTAATCCCCACAGCAACCCTAGATGAAGGTATTATTACCCTTCCCATATCACAGATAAGGAAACTGAGGCACAGAGGAGGTAAGTAACCTGCCCCAGTTCACACAGTAGCAAAGCATAGAGCCCGGAATAGAACCAGTCATTATGGTCCCAGAGTCCACACTTTTGATCATGACATGATTCTGCCCTCACCTTGCTTGTGACTCTACCTCCTTAGTATCTCACAAATTCACCACTCTTTTCCATCCCTGCTGCCCCTCCTTCGTTAATGTCACTACCACATCTTGCCTGGGTAACTGCAACACTTAACTGACCTATCCAACTCCAGAATCATGCCTTTCCCATACCCCAGCCATTCTCCACGCTGCAGCCACAGTGACCTTTCCAAAGGGAAAATTTGGTCATGCCATTTCTCTGCCTAAAATCGTTTCGTCCGGAACACTCTCCACACTCCTTAGCATGCTGTTCATCCCTGGAATTTGCCTATCTTACACTTGATGCTCTACCAGCAGTTCAGAATGTGTCCTGTGCTCACACACCACAGACTCACATGTAACACCAGGAATGCCTTTCTTGCTCTCCCACCCCATGGCAGCTAATTCCCATTTGTCTTTCCAGATTCAGCTGTCACCTCTTTCAGAAAGCTGTGAATGACTCCCAAGGCTGCCCCTTCCTTATGATCTCACAGGTCCTCGTGCTCACTCCTATCATGGTTATTGATCTATCTCTCTCCCTCACCGGACTCTTAAGTTTTTTGAGGACAGGAACTTTGTCTTTTTAATCACTGTATTCCCAGCACCCTGTACAGGGCCTCATACATATACTAATCTAATAAATGTGGTTAATTAATTAATTAATCCATCCATCATAATGACTTTTCCCAAATCTCCAAATATGCCAGCCTATTTCATACCTCTAACAGGCTCATCCTTTCCTCTCACATCCTGATCCCCATCTGCCTAGCAAACTTCTGTTCATCCTACAAAACCCATCTCAAGAATCTGCAGAAGGAAGGCTTTCTCTAGTGCACTCGAGGAGTGCCATAACTCTGTCCTTTGCATATGCCCCTCTAATTAAATGCATCAAATACAGTGCATTGTAATTATTTGCTTACAAGCCTGTTTCTAACTCCAGAATGTAAGCTTCTTGCCTATAGGGATCATGTGTAATTGGCACATACAAGGAGCTCAGTAAATAATTGTTGAAGGAATATTAAATTGCATTTATTAAAAGAGAATTTTCACTAGGCCAAAACACTTCTCAGAGGAACTATTTCGCTCATTTGGTTTGTTTTTCTTAATTTAAAATGTCAGTCTTTGGCTCCTTCCAATGTTTCTACTTAACAGAGTCCAGGTTAAGTAAGAGTTCAGTATGTGTGATGTAATGTCTTCTTTCAGAGAATATTAAAAAGAAAAGTTAGACAAATATATTCTCAGCTAACTCTTAGGAAGGAGAACCAGACAGAATAGGGTTTGCCATTAAAGCTCTGTCTTTATAGATTTGCACCATTGAATTCTAAAAGACAGAAAAAAAAAGAAACGTTTTAGAGTAGACATCCTTAGGCACAAAATTCCTTTTCTGTAGGGAATTGAGTTCTGTTCACCTCTAGGAACTCATAAGGAGCTGAGTCTAAAAGAGTTCAAATTTAGAGTAGACTGCAGCCTTGTAAAGCAGAATCTCATAATGTATATTATTAAATTAGTGAATGCTTCCAGATGCTGCAGGGACGTGTACGTGTCACATTAATAACTATCATGATCACCATAATCATACCCTCACCCCCATCTCTATCATCTCTCTTTGCTTTTTCTTTATCTTAAATGTCTCAAAAAACTCATTTCCTATACTTTTTTTCTGCCATCTTCTATTCCCAAGCCCCTCCCTTCTTTGCAGAAAAGCCAGCAAAAATTTTTTTGCTCCCAGTTAAATCTTTGAACAAGTTAAAATCCTTTCTACCCAATACACAACATGTAAAATGTAAACAAATCTCAAAGAACTTTAATGTCAAACACTGCCTCTTCTATTTACACATGCGTTACAGTAGCCCAGATCCTTTAACACACTTAAATAAATATAAACATTGCTTGATAAAAATGTTTTCCCCCAGTTTTAAAAAAATAATTTTTGGGCCGGGTGCAGTGGCTCGCGCCTGTAATCCCAGCACTTTGGGAGGCTGAGGCAGGTAGATCACAAGGTCAGGAGATCGAGACCATTGTGGCAAATGTGGTTAAACCCCATCTCTACTAAAAATACAAAAATTAGCTGGGCGTGGTGGCACGGGCCTGTAATCCCAGCTACTCAGGGGGCTGAGGCAGGAGAATCGCTTGAACCAGGGAGGCGGAGGTTGCAGTGAGCCAAGATCGCACCACTGCACTCCAGCCCAGCAACAGAGTGAGACTCCGTCCCAAAAATAAAATAAAATAATTTTTGTTTTCCTCTCAGAAAGAGCTGTTAGCAGTAATAAACCAAAACTCTGAGAAACTTATTTCCATTAAGACCAAAGGCTTGGGGTCATCAGACCTAGGTTTAAATCTTTTTTAGCCTCAGTTTCCTCACTAAATAATGGAGATAACAATAAAAAGAGTGAGCCTACTCTAACAATTACCTATTGGCATCTAACAAATTGCCCCAAAACTTAATGTTAAAAACAACAATAATAAACACTACTTATTTATCATAGTTTCCATGATTCAAGAATTCAAAAGAAGTTTGGCTACGTGATTCTGGCTTGGAGTCTCTCATGAGATTGTAGTCAAAGATACAGCCAGGTCTACAGTCATCTGAAGGGTTGACTAAGGTTGGAGAATCCACTTCCAAGATGGCTTATGACCAGCAAATTGGTTCTGACTGTTGGTGGAAGGACTCAGTTCCTCCTCTCACAAGTCCTTTAACATGGCTGCTTGAGTGTCCTCAAAGCATGATGACTGGCTACCTCCAGGGTAAGCAAGCCAAGAGACGATGGGAGAAGCTACAGTGTTCTTTTTGACCCAGAAGTCACACACTGTCACTTGCACAACATCTATTAGTCACACAGATCAGCCCTATTCAATGTGAAATAGGCCACACATTTACATGAATGTAAATACCAGAAAGTGATAATAACTTGGAGCCATCTTGGAATCCATCTATCACATCCATCTCATGCATTTATTAAGAAGATTAAATGAGATAATGTTTGTAAAGGACTTCACTTTGCACAGTGCCTGGCACGTAATTGTTACTGGTGTTATTGTTAGCAGAAAGTTTGGTTTAAAAAAAAAAAAAAGAAAAGAAAAAACTAAAGCGAAAGGAATTCTATGCAATTAACTTTGCTTTCTGGAAGTAAATGTGAATGCATAAAACTGTTCACATGTCTTCAACTTTGGCTTCTGCTACAGTGAGGGCAAGGGCTACTATACTCTGGAATGTTGATAAATATTATTTTTACCCCCAAACACCATTTTCACAAGAAAATATCAAATTAAAAACAAGGAAAATACTCAAATACCGTATGACTTTGGTTGTCAGTGGGGGGTTTTCTAGGCATTCACTGAGTATAAGGATTAATTTTCACTTTTTAATCCTGCTTCATCTTCTAGCTTTCTACTGTCTCTAAAGCTGTTGTGTGCTATGGTTTTCTATTTATTTGATCTTTTTAAAACTGGATTATTTCAGGTTTTATAGGTTTCACATTGGCCTCTGCTCTCTTCCCCTTGAAAAGCTTCTTAAAAACAATCTGTCTCTGCAGGATATGTGCCTTCTTATATCTTAGGTAGATAAAAGAAAGACAGATTCCATTAAGAATTCACTTATTTGACCCATGTTAAAGAAAAGGAAAATGCAGATGTATAATGAAAAGGAGTTTTTCCAAAGCCTCAAATTACAAAATGAACTGCTTCTCCATGGGAAAGTATCAGGTACTGGAAACTTGTTCAAACTGTAGAAGTTTCCAGGTCAGACACAGGCAAAGAAAAAAATCAAATAGCCAACTAAGGACCATGTAGGAAGAAGGAAAAAACAGAAACAGAGAAAGGTATGGTTGCAAAAAGTGCTTATTATTTGTGAGCCCCAATTTACATCATTTTCATGACTCATACCAAGAATCTACAAGTATTATAGTTTCAAAACAGACTACTTTTGTCACAAGGAAATTCAATTATCTTATTTTTCAATTTAATAAGTAGTAGATGTGATAGGCAATTTTATGTGTCAACTTGACTGGGACACGAGATGCCCAGATATCCAGCTAAACATTATTTCTGGGCATGTCTATCTAGATGTTTCTGGAAGAGATTAGCATTTGAATCAATGGGCTGTGTAAAGTTCATTGCCATCCCCAATATGAGTGAGCAGCATCCAATTAACTGAGTGCCTCAATAGAACAAAAAGTTGGAGGAAGGGAGGATTTACCCTCCCTGCCTGACTGCTTGAGCTGAGATATCAATCTCTTGCCCTCAGTGCTCATGGTTCTCAGGCCTACAGATGCAAACTGGAATCTACACCATTGGCTCTCCAGCTCTCAGGCCTTCAAACCACACCATCAGCTTTCCTGGATCTTCACCTTGCAGATAGTATATTTGTTAGGGGAGTTTGAACCAGGGTAACTCCATGCTGAATAGGGGCTAGGTAAAATGAGGCTGAGACCTCCTAGGCTTCATTCCCAGCCAGTTAGGCATTCTAAGTCACAGGACGAGATAGAAGGTCAGCACAAGATACAGGTCATAAAGACCTTGCTGATAAAACAGGCTGCAGTAAATAAAGCCAGCTAAAACCCACCAAAACCAAGATGGTGATGAGAGTGACCTCTGGTTGTCCTCACTGCTACACTTCCACCAGTGCCATGAAAGTTTACAAATGCCATGTCAATGTCAGGAAGTTACCCTATATGGTCTAAAAAGGGGAGGCATGAATAATCCACCCCTTGTTTAGCATATAATCAATAAATAAACATAAAAATGGGTAACCAGCAGCCCTCAGGGGTGCTCTGCCTATGGGGTAGCCATTCTTTATCCCTTTACTTTCCTAATAAGCTTGCTTTCACTTTATTCTGTGGACTTGACCTGAATTCTTTCTTGTGTGAAATCCAAGAACCCTCTCTTGGGGTCTGGATTGGGACCCCTTTCCAAAAACATATTGTGGGACTTCTCAGCCTCCATAATCCCACAAATCAATACCTTATCGTAAATGTCTTCCTAGATATAGATATAAACACAGATATGGATATGCTATTTGTTCTGTTTCCCTAGAAAACCCTGACTTAAAATAGTACAGTATCTACTATATGCAAAGAACTATGTTAATTAATTCTAAATAAAAACATATTGTTTTTGAGGAGTAAAGATGAAACTCAGTGATACGGTTACTAGCATATGGTAATAAGCACCTAGAAATCCAACAGAATTTTGACCTTGACTCTGCATATCTGCCAACATTCAGGCTTGGTTCACATCTCTAAGTGAAAAGCATTGTTACAGTTTGATTGAGCAGGTGATAAATTTTAATTTCAGTTTCAATGAGGTAGATAAGAGATAAAGTGATATCACCTTTTAAAAGATTTTATTGTGAAATATAATGTGCATACAGAAAAGTGCCTCACATAAAGAATTATTACAAAGTGAACACCTGTATAATAATCACCGAGGTTAAGAAACAGAGCACTGCCAACACCCCAGAAGACCCCTCTCACCCGTAGACGCTCTCTCCCCATTAAAGGTAACCACTATCCTCACTTTTTGTAGAAATCACTTTCCTTGATTTGATTCTCTTTGTTTGTTTGTTTGTTTGTTTGAGACAGAGTCTTACCCACCCCGGCTGGAGTGCAGTGGTGCCATCTTGGCTCACTGCAACCTCCACCTCCCAGGTTCACGCAATTCTCATGCCTCAGCCTCCCGACTAGCTGGGATTACAGGCATCTGCCACCATACCTAGCTAATTTTTGTATTTTTAGTGGAGATGGGGTTTCACCATGTTGGCCAGCTGGTCTCAAACTCCTGACCTCAAGTGATCTGCCCGCCTCAGTCTCCCAAAGTGCTGGGATTACAGGCGTGAGCCACAGAGCCCGGCCCCTTAATTCTCTTTTATGACTTAAGCATGCATCCCTAAACATTATACTTTTGCCTGGCTTTTAATATCTAGATGAATGGAATCACATATTATGTACGTTTTGTGTCTAGATTATTTAACTCTAATGTATCTATTTTATTATATACAGCTGTAGTCCATTTTGTGTATAATAATCCACCATTTGAATTTACTGCAATTTATTTATCCATTCTACCACCAATTAACATTTGGGTTGTTTCCAACTTGAGGTTGTTTCCTATTATTCTATGATGCTATGAACATTTTTGCAAATGTCTTTCCATGCACAAAGGTAATCAGAGTCTATATCTAGGAAAGAAACTGCTAGATCATAGAGTATGTGCAGGATAGGCTCTCTGTGTGGTCTTGGACTGACTCTGTCCTCCCCCATCTCTTGCTTGTAGTTGTGAAGAATAACTGTAGAATATGCTAGGAATGCAACATCCTGAGATGGAAAGGGAATGGCTGGAACTGTCTGGGCTCTGTTCTACTAGCCCCCCGCCAGAACAGGATGTCTTTCAATGCTTTAGCCCAGTGAGTCATATTATTCCAGGGTATAAAAACCAGGGAGGGCTACTTTCCAGGGTCCCTCAGCTGTGGTGCAAAGTGAGACTCCATCTGCCTTGGGATGGAGATGATATTTCCTGAAACTTGGGGGACTGGATTGCAATGAATCCTGGGTTTCTGGGTTCCTGGGTTTCTGCTGTCCCTTGTAATAAACTCACTTCATGTGATCTGTTGTATGTGAGTGTTCTGTCTTAACAAACTCAGACAAGTTGGTAATCGGTGCACAGTGAATCTCCTTCATAGTATGCATATCTTAAGCTATAGTAGTTGAGACTGAATAGTTTTCCAAAGTGGTTGTACCTATTTATACTCCCATCAGCAGTATATGAGAGATCTGGTTGCCATCCAAACTTGCAAGCACTTGTTATTGACAATCTTAATTTTAGCTATCTGGTGGATGTGTCATGATAGCTCATTGTGGTTTTAATTTGCATTTCCCTGATTACTAATGAGACGGCGTATCTTTTCATACATTTGTTGGTCATTTGGATCTCCTCTTTTGTGAAAAGCCTTGTGAAGTGTTCAAGTCTCTTGGCTTTTTTCTATTAGGTTATCTTTTTCTTACTGATGTGCAGAAGTCCTTTAAATATTTTAAATAGAAGCCCTTTGTCAGTTAAATGTTTTTACAAATATCTTTTCCCACTCTACAGCTTGTTTTTGCATTTCAAATGGCTTCATGGGCCTACTTCCAGTTTATCCCTACTCCTTTGAAGCAGCCCTTTGAAATAGAAACCCAAAGAGATGGGGGTTCACTAGGCTCCCTCTATCCTTGGCAGGCTCTGGTCATCAATCCCTGTTGCATTATCCCCAAAAGGCTGCCCATCCACTTAAGTCTCACAGCTCTTCCTTGAAATTTTCATGTGCTCTCAGGGAAAGAAGGGGCTCCAATTTTGGGGTTCACCTCCCTGGGCCTCTACCCTCCCCTAGACTTGGCCTGGTAATCCTTCACCATCTTGTAAGCCTTCTAAAGCCTTGAAGCAAGCTTTGGTTTATAATCTGTCCAGCCTTTCTAGTCACCTTCAGGAGAGGGGTGGGCCTGAATTACCTAGCCTACCATTATCAGAAGCAGAAATCTCTCATTCATAACGTGAAGATGGTATACAGGGACAGATATTAATCTATGCCTAAAGAACTTTCCAATTCAGAAAAGGAATTTTTTTAAAAAAATTTGAAGACAAAATGGCAAATTGTATGAAGCACAATACAAGTGTCAGAGGCGTGTGAACCAGAGCAACTCCATCTTGAGTAGGAGCTGGGTAAAATGAGGCTGAGACCTACTGGGCTGCATTCTCAGACAGTTAAGGCAGTCTAAGTCACAGGATGAGACAGGAGGTCAGCACAAGATACAGGTCATAAAGACCTTGCTAATAAAACAGTTTGCAGTAAAGAAGCCGGCTAAAGCCCACCAAAACCAAGATGGCCACGAGAATGACCTCTGGTCGTCTTCACTGCTACACTCCCAACAGCGCCATGACAGTTTAAAAATGCCATGACAACATCAGGAAGTTACCGTATATGGTCTAAAAAGGGGAGGCATGAATAATCTGCCCCTTGTTTAGCAAATCATCAAAGAAATAACCCATAAAAATGGGCAACCAGCAGCCCTCGGGGCTGCTCTGTCTATGGAGTAGCCATTCTTTTATTCCTTTACTTTCCTAATAAACTTGCTTTCAGTTTACTCTATGGACTTGCCCTGAATTCCTTCTTGCACAAGATCCCAGAACCCTCTCTTGGGGTCTGGATCGGGACCCCTTTCCAGTAACACAGGAAGTGCCCAGGACTAGTAAAAGTCTACTGAGAGCATGGCTTAGGTTTCTGAAATTAACCTGGATCATCCATTCATGCCACCTAATCCAAGACTTGTACAGCTGAAGTCTTGCCATCTTGATTGCTTCATTTTAGGTATCAGGCTGAGATACAATTCCTGTTACCTGAGATGGACATTTAGTATATCAACACTGAATGGCTGAATTACAGTGGCCAAAAGTGAATTTTTTATTTATCTACCAAGCAAGAAAGGGCACATTTTCCAGACCCTTCTCACTTGAAGAACACAAAAGAACAATACATGTTTTTGAAAATACATTAAAATTGAGGTTCTCTGAACTTTATCAAATTCAAGCCTGGGCTACTGATCTTCTTTCAGAAAGAGTCTTGATCCATGCATGGATCTAGACTGGGAAACTCACTATCATGAACACCCTCAGACACCCTGGGGAAAGGCAAAGTACTTATCTCTGAAACATCCAGCCTCTCATTCTAAGTCCATTAACCCAATTGGTACACTCTCTCCCTCCTCTGTCTGGGCTCTCCCTGTTTCCTTTGATCAAACTGTTTAAGGGTAAAATGCCTGGAACTTTCTTCTTCCATCCTGTTCCCTTGTCCATGCTTAGACTCATCCCACAGATCTCAGCTGAAACAGCACTTAATCTAGAAATCCTTTCTCTGAAGGCTTCCTAGACCCTTGACCTCTCTGACATCCCCTTCTTATATGTCCTCACAGCAATGCACTTTTCACATAAGATATAAATATGTAACTAAATTTTTATGTCTTCCTTCCCTACCAGAGAGCAAGCTTCAGGAGGTCAGAGATCTCAACCAGCTTGTTCATTGCTGTTATACATGCCTTGCATAGTGATTGGCATAGAGTCAATAAATATTTGTTGAATGACTGGATTGACAGCTGAATCACTGATCTGTTCATTACATTTTCCTTCTCAAAGATATCTTCATTTAAAAAAAGAATAATTTCGCAGATATTTATTGGTTTTTACTATCCTGCATCCATCCCCCCAACCTCTTGCTGGAAACAATGTCATGGGTTTCCCTAAGGAAACCCCTCACTCCAATCCAGGAGTGGCCTATCCCAGTATTGCACCTCCCTAGCTATATGGTTCAGAACACAGCACATGACCCAAGCCAAGCCCACCAAAGCCAATGAGGCTTAATTCTGATTTTGGGGTGAACTGCTGCAAGAGAGGCAATGCTTTCTTTGTATTGAGGTGCTGAAATCGGGATTTGAGCCTGAAGCTGCTGGCAGCCATTTTGCCCCTAGGAGGGGAGAGGCTGTCTGAGAACAAAGCCACACAAATGACAGCAGTGCCAACAGACTGACTTCTTAGGCCATCATTTGAATTCTTAGATCCAGCCACGAACTTCTGAGTCATCTGAGCCAGTCAATGTTTTTTGACACAAGTATCATCTGAGCTGTATGCTGTGACCATAGTATCTTGACAAAGTGAATTCCTTATAAATAATTGCAGTCCATCTATTATTTGTAATGTATCATTGCATGAATAACTTGAATAACCATCTAGACTGTAACTTGCAAAAGCAGTTTTTGATGGTCTTTCTCAATTTGTCAAATATGCTAATTTAAACATGGCAGACAAGCTATTTTAAAGCCATGTTTGCCTTACTAAAATATAATAACTTCTATCTTATATGCCTTTGATTCTGTCAACACCAGAGTCTGAAAGACTGGTAGGATTTCAGGAGCACAAAGTGAGAACACCTTTTGTTACTACAGCCATCACACATGACGAATGTTCATTTGGAGAATTTGCTTCAACTATTACAGACACATGCATGGTATGTGCATGTGTATACACACCACTTAAGCTAATCTATTTTATAAGATTCTTATGAATGCTATGCAATTCATATTATTTTCATTGCAGCAAATTCTTAAACAAATACACATTTGTTTACACATTTGCTACAATGAAGAACAGGTATTGAAATTACCATTTATTGATAACTAAAATTCCTTACTTTGGATGCAACCATCAAATCAATGAAGGCTTATTCATATTTTAATGTAAACAAGAGATGTAATGGCCTTCTTTTGCTTGTTTAACAATAAATAAATAAGCTGCAGTCTACCATTTCTTAGTGACTTCTTTATGAAAGAAATCTAAGCAACAGAAATCCTGAGCATATTAATTTCTTTTCCTAACACCTGCAACAATCCATCCTTTCATCCAGTTGTTGTACCAGTTTTTCTAATCTATAGAATTTTCTAACATGAGAAAATGTCTTCTCATATGCATATATAATGAATTTAGTAGATCATTTTCTCAAACCTATTCATCTTGCTTGGATTCAAGTTTGTGTTTTCAATTAAAAATACTCTTTAACTGCTCCTAACCCTTTTAAACAATCTATTAAAATATTTCTTTTGGCTATCCAGTGTAATTCCCTCTCCCTTGTCCCTCCCCTATTCTCCTTCTGGTAAGAACCCACTGCCCTCTCCAGAGAGGTAGGCAGACATAGCCAATCATAGTATCCTATACTCTTCTGCTCTGATTGGTCTTGGGGGTGTACATGTGACCCTAACAATGCCTGTCATAATCCTTCCCTTGAATGATGGCCAGATTTTGGGAAAGAGAAGTTATTTCTTTGGGCTTGCTGGGCCAAAAATGAATTTAAAGGTATTGGTAGCCTCATCACATGGAGAAGTCCTTCTGTAGAGCAAAGCCAAGTATATAAAAGCAGAGATGTGAGCAGGGTGGATAGATGCATAGATGGATGGAAGGAGGTAAGAAAGATGAATACAAGTGAATCATAGCAGACATTGAGAGCAGTTCCAAACTTTGAGACCCTGATGTCTGTGGTTCATCTTTTGATCCTGTGAACCATCCTAGTGTCCTAACTAAACGGACTAATAAATTTATTATTTTGATTAAGCTGTATTGAAGTAAAAGTTTCTGTCACTTGAAATCTAGCATTCTCTATGACAATTACTATATTTGTAGGCATCATACATTTACCTAAAATTTATTCCTGGAGTTTATTAGGAAGATTTGCAAATAACCACTATGCAATGGTATGAATTGCTATTTCCAAGCAAGTTAAAAATGCCTCATTTCTATTAGAATAGGAGAGAATAAGCTTATACTTTTTGTACCTATATATAATATATAGACTAATTAATCTGTGCCAAGCACAGTGAAGTATGCTTTACAATGCCTGGAAATTCAGGAATTAAGAAAAATTGCTGGATCTCTGGATTAGGTAACCCAGGACAGGTAATTCCATACACAAATTATTCTATTCTTATGAATCTCACATTTGAATATGACCAGCACATACCAATGTCTTTGCAGAGGCTCATATGGGTCCAAAGAATTCCAGTCATCCAGAATGTGTGAGTCCAGAACAGATAACAGAAAATAGTTCCCCAGCACATTGGGAGGCCGAGGTGGGCAGATCACTTGAGCTCAGGAGTTTAAGACCAGCCTGTGAAATATGGTGAAACCCCATCTCTACAAAAAATACCAAGATTAGCTGTGCATGGTGGTGCACACCTTTAGTCCCGGCTACTTGGGAGACTGAAGTGGGAGGATGGCTTGAGCCTGAGAAGCAGAGGTTGCAGTGAGCTGGGATCTTGCCAATGCACTCCAGCCTGGGTGACAGAGTCAGACTCTGTCTCAAAAAAGTAAAGAAAATATTTCATTATCAGGTTCTAAAGATTGGAAAACTGACACATTTTACATGCATTTTCTCCAAGTGCTAACAATGTGAGTTATTTTTGCAAACATTATTAAACATATTAATAGTTTGCAAACATTATTAAAAATTGATCTTGTTTGTTAACCAAATTCTGACAAAAAAGTAACACCTGGGAATCAGATTTCCCTTCACAGAAAAATGCTTAGAATTCTTTTAATAAAGCCAGCTATACACAGAAGAGCAAACTTGGATTTACTCATTGACACTTCCATGGCTCCAACTGAAATCAATAGAGAAAGGGACCAGTGCTTTCATCAATCTCCACCAGCCATTAGGGATGTGGCAATTTCCAGAAGCAAGTGAACAGCAAGCTAGTTTGACCGTTCTCGATTGAGTGCTTTCAACATTGATCACTGGCTCTTATACATCCTTACTAGCAGATACTTGTTAAATGCTGCATGTCTACCTTTTATTAAAATGTCAAATGTAATTCTTTTAATTCATATTGGATGGGTGTCATAACAGAATTCAGTAATGAAAACCAATGACAGAGATTGGTTACATAATGTAACACTGTACTTGAGCTGTCTGGCATATAACAGGGCCATTTTTCTTTTAGTTATCACGTTGGTAAATATTGAGAGGAAATTCTTAGTGTGCTGCTTTCACAGGGTTTGGCCAGATCAATTCCCATTAACAGCATGAAAAATATCTGTTTCCACTCTATATCTCTAACAAGGAAAACAATAAGATATTCTTCTAAAAGTGAAGAGGACTTCCACTTCTAGTAATGGCAACTAACAGTTGAACCAACCATCCATGTAAACACAATGAAAAGCTATAGGTGAAAAAAAAATTAATCTCCTTAAAGAGCTGTCAAGATAGTAAATGATTACCAGACCAAACAATAAAAGAAATCAAGCACCACAGAAGTAAGCAAAGCCCTAGAACACCATAGTCACTTTTGCCCTTAGGGCATTTGCTGATCCAGAAAAATCTGGGCCTTGGTTTTGGTGGCCTTACCAGCCAATGAGATAGAAGTCGGACGCTACAATGGCAGACTAGAAGGAGCTCATGTGTGCCACTCTCAGAGAGGGAACAAAAAGGCCAATGAATACAGACCCTACATAGTGATCATCTGAGAAACCACATTGGGATGCATCAGGGCAACAGGGGAAAACAGAGAATAGAGAGGAGCAAAGCTGCGCACCAGCCTGTCTGGGCTCAGCGTGGAGCCAGGAGAGGCTCTCCAACACGGGAAAGGGGAAGTGAGTGAGAACCCCTGGGGGATTCATGCTCTCTACAGACGCCTGTGCAAGACTGGGAATGAGAGAATCATCCTGTCCCCCTGAAACCCATCCCCAACACTTATAGAATGAGGCAGAGAGCCACCCCAGCATTTTGCAGGGGTAATTCCGAGTCCAAGGGGACCCCCACAAGCCTTGGGCCCCAGAGCAGACCAGCACCAGTGCCACAGCTCCAACAGAGGCCACAGTTGTAGTTCCGAGGAGCACCAACATTGTTCTGCCACTGCTTGCCAGCCAGGGCTCAGTGTCAGCTTCTGGCCCACCTCCAGCCTGAAATTGGCTGGCCACCTCTCCTACCCTGCCATTGATAGCCAGCTATGCAACACTTGCTGGAGCCTCCAGCTCAGTGGTTTCATTTTTGCGTGAACTCAGCTGGAGGGCACAGCCTCCTGTTGTCACAGGAAGACCCTACCCACCCCTGCCACTGGTAGCCAAGTGGACAACTAAGTAGAGCTTCTAGCCCAGCAGCCTTGCTTCTGTGTGAACTCAGCTAAAGAGCACAGCCTCCTGTTGTCCTGGAGAGCAGAGCATGTGACCCTACTGACCTCAACCACTGATAACCAGGCAGACAACACCTGCTAGAGCTTCTAGCCCTGCAGCCCTATGTCTCCCTGAATTTGCTGAGAGGTGCAGCCTCCTATTGCTTTGGAAACACCCAGACAGTAGGGCTGGCAATCCTACCCACCCCAAAGGCCCATAGCCAGATGGGCCACACCCACTAGAGTTTCCAACTCAGCAGTCCCATTTCCACCTGAACTCTGTGGGTGGACACAACCCTGTGTTTCCCCAGGAAGCACATGAACAGCAGATTAGGGCTGACCTGGCAAGGACATGTCTTGTTGGCCAACTGCAGCCCCAGCCTGAGGGAGCTCTGTAGACCAGAATATCCAACAAAAGAAAGCAGACACAGAGACAGTAATAGGAGGAGGCTCCTCTAAGACCCAGAAGACTAGAATCGAAGCCAGTCAATCAAACTTGCCTTATACCATAATCAAACATTCAAAGGCATCAAAGAAAATAAAAATCAAAACAATCCATCCAAAAGGACAAAGACTGAAGGAACATTGGCCCACACAGCTGAGAGAGAACCAACGCAAGAACTCCAGCAACTCAAAAAGTCAGAGTGTCTTCTTTCCTCCCAACCACACTAGTTCTCCAGCAAGGGTTCTTAACCAGACTGAGATGGCTGAAATGACAGAAATAGAATTCAGAATATGGATAGAAACTAAGATCATCAAGATTCAGGAGAATGTTGAAACCCAATCCAAGGAAGCTAAGAATCATAATAAAACAATACAGAGCTGACACACAAAATAGCCAGTATAGAAAAGAATGTAACTGACCGATAGAGCTGAAAAACACATTACAACAATTTCATAAAGCAATCACAAGTATTAACAGCAACACAGACTAGGCTGAGGAAAGACTCTCAGAGCTTGAAGACCGACTTTCTGAAATATAACAGTCAGATAAGAATAAAGAAAACAGAATAAAAATGAATGAACAAAACCTCCAAGAAATATGGGATTATGAAAAGAGACCAAATCTATGACTCACTGGTGTCCATGAAAGAGACTGGGAGAAAGGAAGCAACCTGGAAAATGTGTTTCAGGATACCATCCATGAAAACTTCCCCAACCTAGCTAGAGAGGCCAACATTCAAATTCAGAAAATGCAGAGAACCTCCAAAAGACACTTCACAAGAAGATCATCCCCAAGACACATAATCATGAGCCCTCCAAGGTTGAAATGAAGGAAAAAATGTTAAAGGCAGCTAGAGATAAAGGACAGGTCACCTACAAAGGGGAAACCCATCAGACTAACAGCATATTTCTCAGCAGAAACCCTATAAGCCAGAAGAGATTGGGGGTCTATATTCAACATTCTTAAAGAAAAGAAATTCAAACCAAAAATTTCATATCTGCTCAAACTAAACTTCATAAGCAAAGGAGAAATAAGACCCTTTTCAGACAAGCAAATGCTGACAGAATTTGTTACTATCACAACTGCCTTACAAGAGCTCCTGAAAGAAGCAGTCAATATAGAAAGACCATTACCAGCCATTACAATAACACTCTTAGCTACACAAACCAGTGAGACTATAAAGCAACCACACAAACAAGTCTTCATAATAACCAGCTAACTATATGATAACAGAATCAAATCCACACATATCAATACTAACCTTGAATGTAACTGGGCTTGATGCCCCAGTTAAAAGGCACAGAGTGGCAAGCTGAATGAAGAAGCAAGACCCAATGGTATGCTGTCTTCAAGAGACCCATCTCACATGCAATGACACCCATAGGCTTGAAGTAAAGGGATGGAGAAAAATCTACTAAGCAAATAGAAACAAAAAAAAAGCAGAGGCTGCAATACTAATTTCAGACAAAACAGACTTTAAACCAACAAAGATCAAAAAGGAAAAAGTAGGGCATTACATAATGATGAAAGGTTTAATTTAACAAGAAGACCTAACTACCCTAAATCTATATGCAGCCAAAACAGGTGCACCCAGATTCATAAAGCAAGTTTTTAGAGATCTATGAATAGGCTTAGTTTCACAAACAATAATAGTTGGAGATTTCAATACCCTACTGACAGCATTAGACAGATAAGGCAGAAAATTAACAAAGAAAGTCAGGACCTAAACTCAACACTAGATCAAATGGACCTAGTACACAGCTACAGAACTCTCTGCCCAAAGACAACAGAATATACATTCTTTTCATCACCACATGGTACATATTCTAAAATTGACCATGCAATCTGACATAAAACAATCCTCAGCAAACACACAAAAAAACGAAATCATACTGACCACATTCTCAGACAACAGCACAATATAAATAGAAATCAAAGCCAAGAAAGTCACTCAAAACCATACAACTGTATGAAAGTTAAACAACCTGCTGCCAAATGAGTCTTGGGTAAATAATGAAATCAAGAAGTTATTTGAAACTAATGAGAACAAAGACACAACATGCCAGAATCTCTGGGAAACAGCTAAGGCAGTGTTAAGAGGGAAATTTATAGCACTAAATGCCCACATCAAAAAGTTAGAAAGATCTCAAATTAACAACCTAACATCACAATTAGAACTAAAGAAGCAAGAGCAAACCAACCCCAAAGCTAGCAGGAGACAAGAAGTAACCAAAATCAGAGCTGAACTGAAGGAGATAGAGATATTAAAAAAATACAAAATATCAACAAATCCAGAGGTTTATTTTTTGAAACAATTAATAAGATAGATAGACCACCAGCTAGAAGAATGAAGAAGAAAAGAGAGAAGATCCAAATAAACACAATGAGAAATGACAAAGGGGATATTACCACTGACCCCACAGAAATACAAATAACCATCAGAGACTCCTTTATGCATACAAATTAGAAAATCTAGAAGAAATGGATAAATTTCTGGATACATACATCCTCCCAAGACTGAATCAGGGAGAAATTGAATCCCTAAACAGACTAATAACAAGCTCTGAAATTGAATCAGTAAAAAATAGCCTACGAACCAAAGAAAGCCCAGGACCAGACAGATTCACAGCCAAATTCTGCCAGATGTACAAAGAAGAATGGGTACCATTCCTACTGAAACTATTCCAAACAATTGAAGGGGAGGGAGTCATCTCCAACTCATTCTATGAGGCCAGCATCATCCTGATACCAAAACATGGCAGAGATACAACAAAAAAAGAAAATGTCAGGCCAATATTCTTGATAAGCATAGATGAAAAATCCTCAGCAAAATACTAGCAAACTGAATCCAGTAGCACATCAAAAAACTAATCCACCACCATCTAGTAGGCTTTATCCCCATGATGCAAGGTTGGTTCAACATATGCAAATCAATAAATGTGATTCATCACATAAACAGAACTGAAGACAAAAACCACATGATTATCTCAATAGATGAAGAAAAGGCTTTCAGTAAAATTCAACATCCCTTCATGTTGAAAACCATCACTAAACTAGGCATTGAAGGAACATACCTCAAAATAATGAGAGCTGTGCATGACAAACTCAGAGCCAACATCATACTGAATGGGCAAAAGCTGGAAGCATTCCCTTGAAACCTGGAACAACTCAAAGGATGTCCACTCTCACCACTTCCAGTACTGGAAGTCCTGGCCAGAGCAATCAGGCAAGAGAAAGAAATAAAAGGCATCAAAATAGGAAGAGAGGAAGTCAAACTATCCCTGTTTGCAGATGACATAATTCTGTATCTAGAAAACCCCACGGTCTCTGCCCCAAAGCTCCTTGAGCTGATAAGCAACTTCAGCAAAGTTTTGGGATACTAAATCAATTTACAAAAATCAGTAGCATTCATATACACTAACGGCATCCAAGCCAAGATCCAAATCAGGAATGCAATCCCATTAACAATTACCACAAAAACAAAAAAATACCTAGGAGCACAGCTAACCAGGGAGGTGAAAATCTCTACAATGAAAATGACAAAACACTGTTCAAAGAAATCAGAGACAACACAAACAAATGGAAGGATATTACATGCTCATGGGTAGAAAGAAGAAATATCATTAAAGGGGCCATACTGCCCAAAGCAATTTATAGATTCAGTGCTATTCCTATCATACTAGCGGTAATTAATACATTCTTCATGGAACTAGAAAAAACTAATGCTTATATACTTCTGGTGGGAGAGTAAATTAGCTCAACCATTCTAGAAATCAGTGTGGCAATTCCTCAAAGAACTGAAAAGAGAACTACCATTCAACCTAGCAATCCCACTACTGAGTATGGTCCCAAAGGAATACAAATCATTCTACCATAAAGACACATGCACACGTATGTTCACTGCAGCACTAATCACAATAGCAAAGACATGGATCAACCTAAATGCTCATCAATGGTAGACTCAATAAAGAAAATGTGGTATATATAGACCATGGAATACCATGCAGCCATAAAAAAGAATGAGATCATGTCCTTTGCAGGAACATGGATGGAACGTTAGACCATTATGCTCAGCAAACTAACACAGGAACAGAAAACCAGATACCGTCTGTTCTCACTTATAAGAGCTAAATAACAAGAACACATGGACAGAAAGAGGGGAACAACAGACATTGTGCCTACTTGAGGGAGGAGGGTGGGAGGAGTGAGAGGTTCAGAAAAAAAAAAGCTTTCAGGTACTATGCTTAGAACCAGGGTGATGAAATAATCTGTACATTCAACCCCCAAATCACGAGTTTCTTATATAACAAGCCACACATGTACCCCTGAACCTAAAATAAAAGTTAAGATATTTAAAAAAACAAATTGTCTATGAATGCCAGGTATGTCAGCATGTCATTAATTTCTATCTATAATTAGACTAAAATTTCACTCATTTAGATGAAATGAAAAATCTTTATTAGTAAAACCTTTGTTACTTGGCCCTACAGAATAATAAATGCAACTGTATTGATTTCAAAAAAAATTTCTTAGTTTATTGTTAGTAGTCATATTATTATAATTTTTTACAAATTTATGTATATTATATGATAAAGCAAATAATATGTTGTCAGTTAGCACCAAGGTATAATCTGTAAAAGAGATAAATATAAAATAAAACAATTTAATAAAAATCATATAACATGACATAAGAAATATTACACACACACACAGAGAGATAGAAGTCAATGATCAGAGCCTGCAAAAGATGGGAAGTATGAGGAACCTTCTCTACCTTAGACTGGGACCCAAAATTAAAGCTGGCCACTCCATTACCATCTCTAGCAAGTCATAAAACCTGTCCTGGTGCTGAGCAGAAAAAGAGAATAAAAAGAAAGAGGAAAAATACCCAAAAAGTTGAGGTAAATTCTGACTCAAATTTGCAGCCCAGGTCCACATCACTTAAACTGTCCAGAGAACTTCAAGCCATGAGCTAGGCTTGGGGTATTCCCAGACTAAAAGATGCTGAGGTACCTGGTAAATATAAATCTCCCCTGGAGGGACCGGGTACAGTGACTCACACCTGTAATCCCAGCACTTTGGGAGGCCAAGGCGGGCGGATCACGAGGTCAGGAGATCGAGACCATCCTGGCTAACAAGGTGAAACCCCGTCTCTACTAAAAATACAAAAAAAATTAGCCGGGCGTGGTGAGGGGCACCTGTAGTCCCAGCTACTGGGGAGGCTGAGGCAGGAGAATGGCTTGAACCCGGGAGGCGGAGTTTGCAGTGAGCCAAGATTGCGCCACTGCACTCCAGCCTGGGCGACAGAGTGAGACTCCATCTCAAAAAAAAAAAAAAAAAAATCTCCCCTGGAGGAAGGCACCATCATTCAAGACCACAAAGAATAAGAATACCTACAGATAATATTTCAAGGACAGTGAGGAACACATAGTAAGAAATAAACAAAAACACAAGAAAGTAAGACACCATGAGCAAAAATTTGCAGAAACTAAAGATAGCAGAAATACCATGAAAGGCTTCACATAGGGGAATTATTAGATACAGATTACAAAAAAACCATGATTAATATGTTTGAAGTACTAACATACAAGCTTGATGATATCTTCAAGGCACGGGAATCTAAGAAAAAATGATACAGCAATTCTGTAAAACAACTGGAGTCTTCAAAAACGTCAATGTGCTGAAAAACAAAAATCAACAACAATCAAAAAAAGTCGAAGGGCAACTGTTCTACACCAAAAAAGACTGTAAAAATTCAACAACTTAATGCAGCATATGATCTTTGACTGGATCCTTGAAAAATTGTTAAAAACACTATAGTGGACATTATTGAAAAATCAGAAAAATATGAATATGGATTGTAAATTAGATAATACTGTTTCCATTTTAAATTTGTAGGCTGTGATAACAGTATTGTGGTTATGCAAGAGAATGTTCTTGGTCTTAGGAGATACCAGCTAATGTATATAAGGGATAAGTGTCATGATATCTCCCTTACCTAAGTCATAAACTTACTTTCAAATGATTCAAGAAAGAGAAAGAGAACCACGAGCAAATGTGGCAGAATGTTAACAAGGATTGACTCTAATTAAAGGGTATATGGGTTTTCATTGTACTATTATTTCAAGTTTTCTTTAGGTATGAAATCGTTTAAACAAAATGTTATAGGGGTAAGTTGTATAGAAGATTTGAAAAGGATTCAAATATAACATCCAGCAATAAAAGATAAAATAATGGAATTTAGATATTCCATGTAAGTAAATAGTATATTTTAAATGGCTGAAGAGAAAAATTACTAAAGTAGAAAATAGATCAGAAGGATTATGCAGGACAGTACATGGAGGGACAAAAAGACAAAAAAAGTAAACAAGTTAAGAAACATGGAGAACAAAGATCTGATATCACTGAAGGCTTGAGTGAAGTAAGAGAAGAGAGATAATGAGTCAGAGGCAACATCTAACAAATAACAACTGATAATTTACCGAAGTGTTGAGAACAACCAAAATGAAGATTCAAGAAGCTCAAAAAGTCTCAAACTAGATAAATGGGGGAAAAAGTCGTATCTAGACTCATCCTAGTGAGGGTGAAGAAAACCAAAAATAAGGAGAAAATTACTAAAGGAGCCAGTAAAAAAATAATCTCCAAATGAGACATGGTTAGATTGGGAGCTAACTTCTCAATAGATTGGAAGCCAGAAGACAGTAGGATGATGCATTCAAATGTAGTGAAAGGAAAAACTGTCATCTTTTAATTCTAAAACCAGGAAAAATATGTCCCAAGAATAAGGGCAAATAAAAGACAATTTAAGACAAACAAACCTGGGGAATTCACCTTGGCAGACTCTCAATAAAGAAAAATCTAAAGGATGCAATTCAGGCAAAACGAAAGTGATCCCAAATGGAAAAATCTAAGAGGCAAGAAGAAATGGCGGGGGAAACATGGTCAACAGTGAAGTGATTTAAAATGAACATGAGTGCTGTCATGAATTTAAAAAATAATAATAGCGTTTATAATATTAACAGTAAAAATAGGCTTTAAATAGATTTTAACGTAAACAATATCAACATTTAAGTCAGGAGGTGGGTACACGGAGTTAAAGAGTTCTGAGATCTCTCTAATGTCCAGGAGAAATAGGACAGTTTTTATTAACTTAGTTAAGTATACATACATGTTGGATTCTTAAGGAAGTACTAAATTAATAGAATGAGAGTGACAATGCCCAAACTAGAAGAGGGAAAAACCGAATAGTAAAAAGAATACTAATCCAGCAATAACATATTGAAATATGTTGAATTTTAACCAAGAATGTAAAGTTATATTAACATTAGCAAAACAATGTAGTTCAACATTCAACAAAAATTATATATAGCCTCAACAGATGCAGAAAAAGAATATGATAAAATTCAAAGCCATTTATGATTTTTAAAAGTTATTAGCAAATTAAAAATAGAAGTAACTTCCCCAAACTAATAATGCATATCTACAATGTATAAAAATCTACAGCAGGCATAATGCTTAATCAATAAACATTGAAAAATTTTACTTGATATCAAGAACAAGATCCTTATCTATTAATACCCATTATCACCATTCCAATCAACAGAAATTTAAGGTCCTATCTAATGCTGGAAGACAAAAAAGACTCAAGGAAAGGACAAAACAAAACTCAAATTGTTAGCAGATAATATGAATATATAACATTTTTAGAAAATCCAAAAAGCTGACATAAATTATTAGAATCAATAGGTTTAGCAATATTGCTAAATATAAAATAAATATATCCTAAAATTGCATTTCTATATACTCAAAAAAGTTTTTAAAAAATCAACCTAACAGTTAATTACAATACCATAAAAAGTTCAAATTCCTAGGGCTATACCACAGATGAAATGATAATACATTATTAAGATTCAAGATGACCTAAGTAATAAAGAGATATACCACACTCATTGGTTAGAAAATTCAGTATTGTAAAAGATATTTTTCCAGATCAAACTGGAAATGGAACTTCAAATAAATCAAAACTTGAAAAAATTTAGTCCTCAAAAAAACAGAATTTTAGATGAGACTTGACATGCTGAGTCTAAGATTTTTATGAGAATGAAAAGGGCCAAGAATAACAAAGATTATATTGAAGAAGAACAAATTAAATTATTGGAGGATTTTTGTACCCAACCTCACATCCTTTAGGCCCACCAATAGCTTCCCACAGTGTAAGTTGGAAGCACCCTCTCAGCTGCACTGCATTATTTCACTTTTTCTGTCCTTGGTTTATCTGACAGGAACCTCCTAGTGCTCACACATATGCAGCCTGGAAGTGTGAAGGACATATTCCTTGACCAGTGGGAGACAGACAGAAATTAGTGCGTAAAAGCTACATTCTTCTATTCTTTGGGCAGACAATTTTGAGGTACATCCTATAAGGCTCTTCAGAGGGTCCCAGTGGGACAAAACCTCAGTTGTCCATGTTGATAGCCAACTTAAGAACACAGCCTTAAACTGCTTTTTTTCCTTCCCTGCCTCATTCTTTCAGTCCCTCACTCCTCCCCCGCAATCACTTAGCAAAAATAAACTACCAACACTCAAGTCCTAGACTCAGGCTCTGTCTCCTTGGCAGAGATCCAGGATAAGATAATGGAGAGATCTGCTCTATCAGACATCAACACTTATTATAAAGCCAAGTCTGGGGCAGGAAATAGACAAGATGAGCCTGAAACACCTGGTCATGCCTGAAAGCAAGGAAACTATCACAGACTGTACAATCAATTCATCAATCAAATAACATAGAGGCCAACTTACAGGGTTCTCCCATTGGCCAAAGACAGGATAAAACTAATTAGTCACCTTTAGAGGTCACTAGAGTACCAATTCACTATTCTGAAGAAGCAAGGAAAGAAGGGAGGAAGGGAGAAAGGGAGAAATGGAGAAAGGAGGAAGAAAGGGAGGAAGGAGGGGGAAGGAAGGAGGGAGGGAAAGAGGAAGGGAGGAGAATTCATGCCTTTCTTGTATAAAATGTATTTCATGGTAGCAAAATAGTAAATGAGAAAAAGTTCTTTAAAGAAAAATTCTAGCTGATGAATGAATGTACAAGAAATATGATAGCACTATTTGAAAATCATCACATTGCCACTCCTACTGAAAGGATGTAAGCTCTTATGCTAAAACTTTGGGGTGAAATCTTGATGGGGAACATTATAATCAATCAATCTGGCTGATAACACGTAAATCCTGTAATCAATCTTAATGCCATTAAAAAAAAAAATACTAGCCAGGTGTGGTGGCTCATGCCTGTGATCCCAGCACTTTGGGAGGCCAAGGCAAGAGGATCACTTGAGCCCAGGAGTTTGAAACACCATATAAAAAATAAAAGGACAAGTCTCAAAATGGGAAAAGGTACTTGTGACACATAACCAACAAAACTACTGTACCAGAATATTTAAAGAACTCCTACAAAACAATATTAAAAAAAAAAACAGACAATCCAATAGGGGAAAAAAGCAAAAGAACAGGCTGTTTACACTAGAGAATATCTAAATGGCTAATAAATATATGAAACATGCCCAAACTAATAAAAAAACAGGGAAATGTAATTAAAACCACAAGATGCCCCTACACATGTACTAGATAGGCAAAATCTGAGTCTGATAATTCTGAATATTGGCTCCTCTGTGTTGTAATGGGAAATGCCAAGCACTTGCTGGTCGGGCTGTAACTACGTAAAACAACTTCAGAAAACATATTCCATCATCTAGTAAACTTAAAGATACGTATGTTCTATGACCCAGCAGTTTTACCCTGGTAGACAGTCCAGAGAAATGTATGCACATGCTACAGAGATATGAGTAAGACTGTTCATAGCAGTGTTATTCATAATAGTGGAATATTGGAAACAACCCAAGTTTTTATTGATAGCATATAGAAAAAAATGCCATATTCCTATAATATAATATCACAAATCAATAAAGATGATCTAAACAGAGACCAACAATATGGATGAATTTTACATCAAGTTGAGGGCAGAAAAGCAACATGAAACATGAATACATACAGTGTGATTCAATTTATATAAAGTACAGACAAAGGAAAAACTGAACTACGTTTCTAGGAATGTATACAAAATGGCAAAACTATATTAGAACCCAAGAATGACTGTAAAGGTCAGGATAGCAGTTACCTCTGAGGTGGGGAAGAGGAGGGCTATGATGGAGAAGGATTCCAGGATACCCACATCCTAATCCTTGCCCAGGTGGTGGTTACACATCTGTTCCCTTTATTTGTTAAATGGTAACAATGTGTTTCATACATTTACGTGTATGTTCTATTCCACAACTAAAATTCTAAGGAGAGTTCATTTTGAAAATTAAATATTTCTTAAAATTTGGAAAGCATCTTTGAAATTCTGCAACCCAGTTTTTCCCAGGGTAGCATCAACTGAGGATCACCTAGTCCTACCCTAGAGATTCTGATTCAGTCAATCTATAGTCGGTCCTGGACATCGGTATTTTCAAATAGGTCGCCTAAGTTTGGGAAGTGCTTAGCCAAGTCCAGACTCCATGGGTGGTTAAGGCATTTGCCCTGTGCTTCCCAACCCCACCACAAGGCTCTCTCCACTGTATCAGTGAGGACTAGACATCCCTTGCCTTTGGGCTCAACTCTTGTCCTACAAAAGAGTTTTACAGCCAGCAGGCTCACAGGTTTGGCACAGGAACTGATAGCAGTAGGTACCTTTTGGACAGGTTCCTGTAAGTCTCCAGTTAAATGATGCTTTCTATCCAGCAAACTTGCATTGACTGTTAATTTAACCTACATAAAATTTAAGGTTCTCCTTTCCAGTATTCTGCTGTTCTTCTCTCAAATAGTCCATCCAATAGATCATAAGAATAATGTACAACTATTGGCAAAAATGATTTTGAACTGACTTATGCACACATTTACCCCCATTTTAAGTCTCGATGATGCCCCAAGTTGTCGTTCAGACAAGTTCATGAATACAGGTACCTCTACATTGATGGACCTTTCTCCAGAATGAGGAGCCAAAATCATCTGAATTAAGTAGAGATCTCATTTGTCCCTGACTCATGATAATGTCTGTGCTACAGTCCTGCATTAATTACTTTGCCCAAGTAGAAATACACTACCCATATAAGAATTTCACTTCTGAACAAAACAAAATAAAAATCCACGAGTGGTGACCTCAAAATGAACTGGTTAAATTTAAGGACTCATTTTTAAAGGTCAATGTCCTTTTGCTGCAAATACAGTTCCTATGCAGATGAGAAGTTGAACCTGACCTATGGAGCCGAGCATAATTAGCCAGCTGCACCCTCATAATAAGGTGCAGATGGTTAATTGCACCAGCAAATAACTGCTTACTTGTGGGCACAAAAGCCTGTACCTAAAATCATTGAAAGTATACTTGGGACTATTTATGCTCATGGCAAACAAAACACATTTCCAAGGTTTCATCTGCGAACAGATCACAGCCAGCTCCAAATCCCTGCTTTGCGGGAGAGCCATTCACGCTGCTGAGGTCTGGTCCAAGAGAGGGACCACTGGCCACAAAGCCACATATCAACTGGTGAAATATTTCTTGGGGTGCTGAATCGTTGTTGAAAAATCTCCTGAATTTGTTGTAATAGGGATGAGGGGATCAGTCAATAAGGTGAGACTTTGGTTTCCCTAGAACGCAAAGTAAATTCTGTATTCTTTTGATTACAAACTCTGAAATGATTTTTTCATAAACAAACATCTCATCATTAGTTTTCTGAATAAGAAAAAAAAAGACCAATTTTCCTGTGCCCTTGAGGAATTTCATGCACTAGCCAAGCTCCTAGAATTTAGCAAGCTGTATTAGATTCAACACACCCAGTGGTTGTTAGCGACTGTTCCAAAGATCCACTCTAAAACATATTCTATTAATCCCAATGTGGTAAGAATAAGATATGGGGAGAAAACAGAGAAGGGATAACTACTCCATAAAACCCATGTTTGGAAGTCCTCAGCCAGCTGCAAAGCTTTCAGCTGGGCAAGAGGTCAAGATGACAGGGCTGGGGAGCAGAATACTAATCTACTGGAATCCACACAGAACCTTTCTTCTGAAGAACCCACTGGGTTACGTGATTCTATTCAGTTTAATTGTATACTGGGGAGGAGGAAAAGCTATTTGCCATGGTTTTAATTGCTAAGAACACACTATCTTTTTCAGAACCATCTGTTTAATTGTAATTACAAACAGCGATGTAAAAACGCAAATGATTAACAAGTACAAAATTCCCTACCACTAACAGTTTTAACATAACAAGCCATATTGTGAAAGAGTATGTTGCCTTTTCCCTCCCTGCAATATTTCATGATTTGGCAACTGACAACCCACCATTTTTTACAGAATCTCATTCTGGTAGAGCTAAAGGTATTAATTAGTATTCTTAGAGTACATCCTCCTGTTATTGCTTTTTATTAAATCGTAATTCCCTCTAGCAGCAAAAGGATTATATCAGAAATGAAATGCATAAGGCCCCTTTGTTTCCATCTCCCACCAAAATCTTTGAGGTTTCATATGATATCATCTATAATTAATTACCAGGCATATTCCAAAGCATTGCAAGACTACTTTTGGCTTCATAAACACAAATTTCTGCTTTCCTGGTTTTGAAATATGCTTCCCACACTGTCATTATTTTAAAAGCCATGAGTACTGGTAATTGTTTTCAGACATCAATAAAAATAGCTTAACCTTGAAATTTATTTTAATTAGGGATTTTTTCAAAGCCACTGCTGCAAATTTGGGTGGATTGTTTATAATAAAAATGAGCATCAACAACATAGTTGTACAGAACATAGAATTAGGCAAAGTTGTTTAACTTAGGCTCATAATAGCAGTTTAAAGAAATAAAAACAGACACAGATACAGTCAGATCATAATGTTATTAGAGCAACTTTACATTCAGGACATTTTAGATAGCTTATTAAAGCAAGAAGATGCCATTTTAAAAAAAAAATAAGGGGCAGATTTATGCATTGCCAGTGAAATTACAAGAGATTGCTTTTTCTAGTCATTTCACACTAATTTTTCTTTAAAGTCAACCAAGTTGACTTTTTGGTATTAAGAGGAAGACCACCACTTTAAGAATATAGGATTTAGTATAGGATTTGGTATTCATATTAAGATGAATATCACCCCTTTAAGAATATAGGATCTAACATAGGATATGCTGGTTTATTTGAACCAATACTTTCTAACAAGCCTTTCTATCAAGCACAGAACAATTTTTAAAAGTCCACTTTTCCTCCATACCACCTCAAGGGATAAATATGACCCTTTAAAAAAATCAGATAACTAAAACACTTTGAATCCAAATAAATTAAAAGATTGCACAGTTTTTCAAATTAAATTGCATTAGAGGCATTTTATGATATGTCAATTTTCCTCACCTGAAACCCTTCCAGCAATAATCCTACAATTATTTTTGCCTTATTCCAAGCCCCCATCCCTCTCAAACGACATTTTGTATGAAGAGCAGCCAAATGCTAAGTGCTTCTGCAGTGTTAATGAGGAAACAGATCTTGGAAGAAATTATTTGAAAGAAAAAGTTTGCCCTCAGGAATGAGTTGTCGTTTCACTTTTAATGATGGTAACTGTGGTTCAGCGTATTTCGGTCCATTGCGTTCTGAAATGTACTCATCCCAAACCAGTGCTCTTTAACCTTTGTGGTCCAGGTCCTACTGGAAATCTGATGATGGCTATGAACACTATCCCCCAGAAGATTAACATAAACATAAAATCTGAGGGCTGACACATCCAGGGTCAAAAATCTATTACACAGATCCCGAATGTGTACCAATTAAAACATGGTTTCAATACTAACAGGCTATGAGTTTCTTTCAAACCTGATGAGCGTTTTCATGTTCTAAATGTTTCTGCTGCTAAAGTGAAGAAACATTCTCAAAACTATTCTTAAAGCCTGTGAAACTATATAACTACTAAGGGGTAATAACTTCCTTCTACTTTGTGATTGCATAAATCATTCTCACACACAAGCCAGAAGTATTCCTTCCCCCAAATAACTCTAATTTGGCCTTGTATACAAGACATAAAATGAAATACCAACTTACAAGTATCATTTTCTAAGAGCTTCTGACATGCATTCATTGTCACATCTTTAGATATAATATAGAATAAAATACACACTTCACATAAAAAGAAAATATTTAAGTCACTAGTCTGCATGTATATATTCTTCAGCTGGCATTTGCTAAACCTGAATTTTTCCATCTTTGTCACACATGTATACAGCGAATACATCCAGGTTTCACGAAAGATTTACTCTGATGCTCTCAATAAATGATTCAATACAAAAATTATTAAGAATAGTTACCTCTGGGGAACCAGACTAGGAGAGAGAGTGGAGTAATGAGAAGCCTTTCATGTTTACATTTCTAAGGTATTTAATTTTTTACAAGGAGTATGTAAATGACTGTGCTAAAAATTAAGACTACAAAGTAATACATTGTTTTCTAATATAGGTTATGCTGGTTTGTTTGAACCAACTCTCCTGCTGAAAACAACTAAAAATGCTGGCTAAAATATTTTTTCAGCTTCTCAAAAGCATCAAAAAGCTAACAAGACCATAAGGAATTATCTAGCCAACATCTAACTGAAAACAGGGACCAAGAAAGGTAAGTGGAGCACTGAAACAAATTTGGTAGGAGATAATCCTCTAGACAAGGACACCCTGAGCTCTGCTTGTGGCTGCCTGGTAGGGCTTCCAGGAAAGGTCAACACCCAGGACCCATCAAAGGTGGGGAGACTGATAGTTGACTCCACTCCAAAGGTGTACACTTTCAACGTTTGGGTCAAAAATAAAGCCTTCCTATCCCACCATTCCCAGCTGAATGCAGGGGACGATTCCTTGGCACCTAACAGAGAGAAAGGTATAAAGAAAAAAAAAAAACCCTGAAAGGTTAGAATCACAGCCAACTCTCTTAGAGATGTACAGCCCAAATTCATATCACCTGTGAGCTCCAAAAGCCTCAAAGTATGATTTTTACTTTAAAATAAGCCTGGACAGGTAGTTCCCTGAGGTACCTAACAGAGGCAAATGCAAACCCTCTCTGATGAACCTCCTTCTCTGAGGACCTCTCTGAGGTCCTCCTTCATTTTAGTCATCAAACACTTCCCATAAATAATTTTCCAAGGACAATAAGCAGCTCTTGGTCAAAATAAACAAGCATACTAAGAGAGTGGGAAAAGCACCCTGAACAAGAACCAGCAAAAACATCCTGTAGGAAAAGAAATTCAAGAAATGAAAATTAAAATAATAAAAATTAAAACTCAATGAATAGAATATCTAATTCTAAGAAGAATGTATTTGATAGCATCTACTTCAACAATTAGAAAATAAAATAGATAAATTACAAAAAGCATATACTTTAAGACATTAGAGAGGTATAGAAGAAATATAGTGTTAAATCAAGTTTAGCCTAAAGCTGCCTCCTTACATATTTTAAGTTTGGCCTAAAGGTTTCTCTGTACATTGTGAACTATAACCTAAATGAAGCTGTAAACAGACCATAGCCTACTCTTGTGCCAATCACTGAGTTTTGGCCAAAGGTGGCCAACTTTTCAAACCGTGTTCAAATAAGGCAAGCAATGAGCTGTAACTAATCTGGCTATTTTTGTACCTCATTTCCATTTTCTGTACATCACTTTCTTTTTTCAATCCACAAATCATCTTCTACCACATGGCTCCACTGGAGTCTTTCTGAGCCTACTCTGGCTCAAGAGGCTGCCCACAGCACACCAAAAGGATAACACATCATGATCAAGTGGGTTTCATCCCAGGAATGCAGGGATGGTTTAATATACACAAGTCAATAAATGTGATATATCACATAAACAAAATTAAAAACAAAAACCATAGATTATCTCAGTAGATGAAGAAAAAGCATTTGAAAAAATCCAGCACCCCTTTATGGTAAAAACCCTCAACAAAATAAGCATAGAAGGGACTTACCTCAAAATAATAAAAGCCATATACGACAAACCCACAGCCAACATCATACTGAATGCAGAAAAGTTGAAAGCCTTCCCTGTGAGAACTAGAACAAGACAAGGATGCCCACTTTCACCACTTTTATTTGACATAATACTGGAAGTCCTAGCCAGAGCAACCAGCAAGAGAAAAAAATAAAGGGCATCCAAATTGGAAAAGAAGTCAAACTGTCACTGTTTGCCAGTTATATGATTATATACCTAGGAAACCCTAAAGACTCATCCAAAAGGCTCCTAGATCTGATGAACGAATTCAGTAAAGTCTGAGGTTACAAAATTAATGTACACAAATCAGTAGCACTGCTCTACACCAACAACAACCATGCTGAGAATCAAATCAAGAGCTCAATCTCTTTTACAACAGCTGCAAAAAAATAAAATAAAATAAAATACATATGAATATACTTAACCAAGTAGGGGAAAGACCTCTACGCGGAAAACTAAAAAGCACTGCTGAAATAAATAATAGATGACACAAACAAATGGATACACATCCTATGCTCACGAATGGGAAGAATCAACATTGTGAAAATGACCATACTACCCAAAGCGATTCCCATCAAAATACCAACATCATTCTTCACAGAACTACAACAAACAATTCTAAAATTCACATGGAACCAAAAAAGAGCTCACAAAGCTAAAGCAATACTAAGCAAAAAGAACAAATCTAGAGGCATCACATTACAATACTTCAAATTATACTACAAGGTTATAGTTACCAAAACAGCATGGTACTGGTATAAAAATGGGCACATAGACCAATAGAACAGAACAGAGTACCCAAAAATAAAGCCAAATAATTACAGCCAACTGATATTTGACAAAGCATATAAAGACATAAATTGGAGAAAGGACACCCTATGCAATAATGGTGCTGGGAAAACTGGCAAGCCACATGTAGAAGAATGAAACTGGGTCCCCATTTCTTACCTTATAAAAAACATTAACTCCCAATGGATCAAAGACTTAAATCTAAGACATGAAACCATAAAAATCCTAGAAGATAACATTGGAAAAACTCTTCTTCTGGCATTGGCTTAGGCAGAAATTCAGGACTAAGACCCTAAACGCAAATGTGACAAAAACAAAAACAAATAAATGGGTCCTAATTAAACTAAAAAGCTTCTGCAAAGCAAAAGAAATAATAAGAAGAGTAAACAGACAACCCACAGGGTGGGAGAAAGTATTTGCAAGCTATGCATCCAACAAAGGACTAGCATCCGGAATCTACAAGGAGCTCAAACAAATCAGCAAGAAAAAAAAAAAACAAATAATCCCTTCAAAAAGTGAGCTAAAACATGAAGAGACATTTCTCAAAAGAAAATATACAAACAGCCAACAAATATGAAAAAATGCTCATCAGTAGTTGTCAGGGAAATGCAAATTAAAACCACAATGAGATACCACCTTACTCTTGCAAGAATGGCCATAATTAAAAAGTCAAAAAACAATAGATGTTGGTTGGGATGTGGTGAAAAGGGAATACTTCTACACTATTGGTGGGAATGCAAATTAGTACAACCACTAAAAGTAGATCTACCATTTCATCCAGCAATCCCACTACTGGGTATCTACCCAAAGGAAAAGAAGTCATTATATGAAAAAGACACATTCACATGCATGTTTACAGCAACACAATTTGCAATTGCAAAGATATGGAACCAACCTAAGTGCCCATTGATCAACAAGTGGATAAAGAAAATGTAAAATGTGTATACCATGGAATACTACTCAACCATAAGGAGTGACAAAATAATGTCTTTTGCAGCAACTTGGATGCAGCTGGAGGCCATTATTCTAAGTGAAGTAACCCAGGAGTGAAAAACCAAATACCATACGTTCTCCCTTATAAGTGGGAGCTAAGCTATGAGATGCAAAGACATACAGAGTGATGAAATTTGGGAACTCATTTGGGGAAGTCAGAAGTAGGGTAAGGGATAAAAGACTACATATTGGGCATAGTGTACACTGCTCAGGTGACAGGTACACTGAAATCTCAGAATTCACCACTAAAGAACTCATCCATGTAACGAAAAACCACTTGTACCTCAAAAATGATTGAAATATAAAATTATTTAAAAAGAGGCTGCTCAATTTGCAAATTGTTCTTTGCTCTGAAATGATTGATGAATCATTCTTTAATTAAATTAAACTCTGTTAAATTTAATTTGGCTAAGGTTTTTCTTTTTTTTTTTTTTTTTTTTGAGACGGAGTCTCGCTCTGTCGCCCAGGCTGGAGTGCAGTGGCGGGATCTCGGCTCACTGCAAGCTCCGCCTCCCGGGTTCACGCCATTCTCCTGCCTCAGCCTCCCAAGTAGCTGGGACTACAGGCGCCCGCCACTACGCCCGGCTAATTTTTTGTATTTTTAGTAGAGACGGGGTTTCACCGTTTTAGCCGGGATGGTCTCGATCTCCTGACCTCGTGATCCGCCCGCCTCGGCCTCCCAAAGTGCTGGGATTACAGGCGTGAGCCACCGCGCCCGGCCTAAGGTTTTTCTTTTAACAATGGACTAGAAGAACTAAAATTTCAGAAGGGAAATGGCCTCTCATCAATGAGTTGAAGTTACTGGTCATGTTTTTCTCTGGGGACATTTGCTAATTCTAGGCACAGGGAGACAATCCAGCTTGGCTCAGGCAGAGGATTCTTAAGGTAAGAGGAAGCACCAACAGAATAGGTGATGGTTGTAAAATCTGGCAAGACGAACAGGAACCTAAAAAGCGAGGGCCAGATTCCCCTATGGGTGATTTTCTGAGAAGTGGAACAGCATGAGAGCTCTGAAGTTGAATGAGAAAGAGTGTAGGGTTCTCCGTTCCCCACTACTTTCTTTCTGTGTCCTGACTGCTCTGTGATCTATCCAGTTGCAGGTTTTTCGTAGCAGACTTGAACCCAAACCTGGGCCTGGAACATTCCTAGGCACTGATAAAGGTATCTAGGTTGCTGCCCACAACACTGAAAAAGAAACTAGCCCTGGCCCTGAGCCAAATTCCTTAAACTCTCATACCCTGACCCCCTCACTGCAGTCATACCTAGGTAGAACACCTGTTTTCTCTTACTGTTCATTTTGAGGACTGCTGCAGCACTCTGTAAGTTTCCCCAATAAATGCTTTGGATTGACCACTCTGGCATTTAGTCTTTCCTTCTTTTTTTGGAATCCCAACCGGCCCTATCTCTGGACAGTTTGGGGCACTCCCTTGTGGGGAATCTCCTGCCATCATTTTGGGGGTGATTCTGGCCATAGGTATTGTGGGATGAAACACAGAGTGAAATCTGCTAAAGTCTCTTGGTGCTTAGAACTTGAGGTTCAGAAAGAAGGAGGAGGGGCTTGCAACAAACACAACACAGTTCTCCCCACCAAGACATTTGAATGAGGTTTAACATTTGATTGGGTATGAAACAAGGAATGAACAACTGGAAACTGAAAATTTTAAAACAGTATCATATACAATAGCATCAAAAAACAGAAAATAAAAACAGAGCTAACAAAACATGTGCAAAAGTTGCATGTTAAAAATTATAAAACATCATTGAGAGAAATTAAAGAGGACTAAATCAAAGGAGGTATACCATGTTCATAAATTGGAAGATTCAGTATTGCTAAGATGCCAATTCTCCCCAAATTAATCTATACTCCAATGAAATCTAATCAAAATGCCAGCAGATATTTTTGGAGATGTTAACCTTTAATTCTAAAGTTTGTATGGAAAGGTAAAGGAACCAATGTTGCCAATTCAATTTTGAAAAATAAGAACAAAGTAGAAGGACTCAAACTACCAGATTTCAAAATTCACTGTAAAGTTATCAAGAAATCGATTTTATGCTGTTAAAATGACTGGTAGTTCATTTGAGAAACAAAAATTATTCATATTTTTCTGGAATATTCTGTTACATTGATAAATCAGAAACATGTATTCACACATACATGGTCAACTGATTTTTGACAAAGGTGCCAAGGTAAGTGGAGGGAGGAGAGTCTCTTTAACAAATGGGGTTGGAACATTCAGCCTTATGAAAAAAAAACACCTCAACTCTTGCCTGACGTCATACATAAAAATTAACTCAAAACTCATCAAAGACCTACATGTGAAACCCAAAGCTATGAAAGTCTGAGAAAGAAACATTGAGGAAAATCTTGTTACCTTGTGTTAGGCCAAAGGTTTTTAGATATCACACAAAACATAAAAGAAAAAATTAGTAAGATTAGACTTCATCAAAACTTTTGACTTCAAAGACATTATGAAGAAAATTGAAACCAGCCCAATTTCCTCACAGAACTGATGTTTATGGTCTTTTTAAATAAACAGAAATTGGCCCTCTTGGTCTTAAGCCTGAAACTTATATTTATCTTATCTGAGTTCCTTTCTTAGAAAACTGACGCTCGGGCCTCCCAGAGAGTATAAAGGAACTGAAACTCACCAGATCACCGCATCCAGACAGTGAGAGACCAGATTCCTCTTCCTTACTCCTCCCTAATTCCTGTTTTCTACATTCTTTCCCTGGTATTTAAATCTCCAATTTTAGTCAGTTAGTGAGACAATTTGAGACTATCTCCCATCTCCACAGCTGCAGCACCCAAATAAAGCCTTCTTCCCTGGCAGTACTCTTTGTTCCAGTGATTGGCTTTCTGTGCTGTAAACAATGAGATCTAGATCAAACCCCTGGCATTTCAGTAACAAAATGTTTTAAAAAGGAAAGATGTGTCACATACTGGGAGAAATTATTCGCAAATTAAATATCTGACTTTTGTCATATATATATGTATATATATATGTGTATGTGTGTGTGTGTGTGTATATATATATATATGAATGATATGGGCAAAAGATACAAACAGAAACTTCACCAAGTTCACCAAACTTCTTCACCAAAGATATAATAACAAGTAAGCATGTTATTCAACATCATTAATCACCAGGAAATGCAAATTAAAAGCAGAATGAGATACCACTACACAGCTATAAGAATAAAGTGTATTCAACTAGAAAAAGAGGAAGTCAAATTGTCCCTGTTTGCAGATGACATGATTGTATATCTAGGAAACCCCATCTTCTCAGGCCAAAATCTCCTTAAGCTGATAAGCAACTTCAGCAAAATCTCAGGATACAAAATCAATGTGCAAAAATCACAAGCATTCTTATACACCAATAACAGACAAACAGAGAGCCAAATCATGAGTGAACTCCCATTCACAATTGCTTCAAAGAGAATAAAATACCTAGGAATCCACCTTACAAGGGATGTGAAGGAACTCTTCAAGGAGAAGTACAAACCACTGCTCAACGAAATAAAAGAGGACACAAATGGAAGAACATTCCATGCTCATGGATAGGAATAATCAATATCGTGAAAATGGCCATACTGCCCAAGGTAATTTATAGATTCAGTGCCATCCCCATCAAGCTACCAATGACTTTATTCACAGAATTGGAAAAAACTACTTTAAAGTTCATATGGAACCAAAAAAGAGCCTGCATTGCCAAGACAATCCTAAGCCAAAAGAACAAAGCCAGAGGCATCACGCTACCTGACTTCAAACTATACTACAAGGCTACAGTAACCAAAACAGCATGGCACTGGTACCAAAACAGAGATATAGACCAATGGAACAGAACGGAGCCCTCAGAAATAATACCACACATCTACAACCATCTCATCTTTGACAAACCTGACAAAAACAAGAAATGGGGAAAGGATTCCCTATTTAATAAATGGTGCTAGGAAAACTGGCTAGCCATATGTAGAAAGCTGAAACTGGATCCCTTCCTTACACCTTATACAAAAATTAATTCAAGATGGATTAAAGACTTACATGTTAGACCTAAAACCATAAAAACCCTAGAAGAAAACCTAGGCAATACCATTCAGGACATAGGCATGGGCAAGGACTTCATGTCTAAAACACCAAAAGCAATGGCAACAAAAGCCAGAATTGACAAATGGGATCTAATTAAACTAAAGAGCTTCTGCACAGCAAAAGAAACTACCATCAGAGTGAACAGGCAACCTACAGAATGGGAGAAAATTTTTGCAATCTACTCATCTCACAAAGGGCTAATATCCAGAATCTACAAAGAACTCAATCAAATTTACAAGAAAAAAACAAACCCATCAAAAAGTGGGCAAAGGATATGAACAGACACTTCTCAAAAGAAGACATTTATGCAGCCAACAGACACATGAAAAAATGCTCATCATCACTGGCCATCAGAGAAATGCAAATCAAAACCACAATAAGATACCATCTCACACCAGTTAGAATGGCGATTAAAAAGTCAGGAAAACAACAGGTGCTGGAGAGGACGTGGAGAAATAGGAACACTTTTACACTGTTGGTGGGACTGTAAACTAGTTCAACCATTGTGGAAGACAGTGTGGCAATTCCCCAAGGATCTAGAATTAGAAATACCATTTGATCCAGCCATCCCATTACTGGGTATATGCCCAAAGGATTATAAATCATGCTGCTATAAAGACACATGCACACATATGTTTATTGCGGCACTATTCACAATAGCAAAGACTTGGAACCAACCCAAATGTCCATCAACGATAGACTGAGTTAAGAAAATGTGGCACATATATACCATGGAATACTATGCAGCCATAAAAAAGGATGAGTTCATGTCCTTTGTAGGGACATGGATGAAGCTGGAAACCATCATTCTCAGCAAACTATCACAAGGACAAAAAACCAAACACCGCATGTTCTCACTCATAGGTGGGCAACGAACAATGAGAACACTTGGACACAGGAAGGGGAACATCACACACCGGGGCCTGTTGTGGGGTGGGGGGAGGGGGGAGGGATAGCATTTGGAGATATACCTAATGTAAATGACTAGTTAATGGGTGCAGCACACCAATATGGCACATGTATACATATGTAACAAACCTGCACGTTGTGCACATATACCCTAGAACTTAAAGGAGAATAAAAATATATACATATAAAAAAAAGATCACCTGCTAACAAGGTTGCAATTTGGCAGTTTCTTGTAAAATTAATACTTACCATATAACCTATCAATCCTACTCCCAGGTATTTATCAAAATAATAACATATGTCCATACAAATACCTGTATGGGAATATTTATAACAGTTTTACTTATTAATAATTACCAAATACTGGAAGCAATCCTAATGTCCATCAGCTGATGGTACATCCATTCAATAGAATAGTACGCAGCAATGAAAAGAAATGAGCTACTGTTACATACAACAACATGGTTAAATCTCAAAAGCAATATGCTAAGTATAACAAGCCAGACAAAAAGTGCTATGTATGTTATAATTTCATTTATGTGACATTCTGGATAATGCAGAATCAGAAAACAGATCATTTCATTAGTTGCTATGGGCTGGAAGTGGGGAAGGGGCATTGACTACAATGAGGTACAAGAGATACTTTCTGAGCTAATGGAATCATTCTACATACTTATTGCAGTAAGTACATGATATGGTTTGGCTGTGTCCCCACCCAAATATCATCTTGAATTATAACTCCCATAATCCCCACGTGTCATGGGAGGGACCCCATGGTGGGTAACTTAATCATGGGGGTGGGTTTTCCTGGGTTGTTCTCATGATAGTGACTGAGTCTGACGAGATTTGATGGTTTTATAAAGGGGAGGTTCCCCTGCACATGCTCTCTTGCCTGCCGCCATATAAGACACGACTTTGCTCCTCCTTTGCCTTCCACCATGATTGTGAGGCCTCCCCAGCCAAGTGGAACTGTGAGTCAATTAAACCTCTTTTCTTTGTAATTAGCCTCAGATATGTCTTTATTAGCAGAATGATAACAGATTAATACAGTACAGAACTTTATATTTTCAAAACTCTTGGAACTGTACACCTAAAAGAGGTGAATTTTACCATTTTCCCCGGTAAGACGGGAAATGATTCGTCCAAGGCCTGGGGCTAATTCCAAGTTGGAAGCGAGGCAGCACCTCAGGCCTTCTGCCCTTCAGGCTACCTGTCTGGCAGGGGAATCCCAAGAACAAAAATCCGAGGTCCCGTAACTTTCATGGGAGTGAGAAGTGGCTAGGGAAGGCTGAGGAGGGGAGGGGTCTGGAAAGTCTGGAGAACGCCTGGGACGCAGGGCGAGGACGAGGACGAAAAGAGGGGACGCCCCGGTTAGCCCCCATGTCCCTCACACTTTGACCCCACAATCTCTGCGAGGACCTCTGACCTTGGTGCACTCCGGGTCCCACGTTTATTCTACCTCCATTCCCCGCCAAGACCCCGCGTCCAACTCACAGACCCCGCCGCCGCTGAGGGGCTCCATACCCAGCTTGAAGCCGCCCGCACTCTCCATGCGCCGCCCGAGCTGTTGCCGTCCGTTGCCACGGTAACCACGGAGCCGCACAGCCTAGCAAGCCGCGCGATGATTGGAGGAGGCAAGCGTCAATAGCAACCACCGCCCCAGCTGCTAGGTGCAAAAGAATTTGGTTTCCAAGGATTCTTCGGACACCACCTCTCCCCAAAGCCACACTTCGCCAGGCCTAGTTCTTTAAAGATGCTTCGTGCATTATCTCATTGAACACCTGCCTCCTGCCTCCCAGTGTTGCTGTGGAAATCTCTTATCTCTACAGGAATTTTTAACCTGTGGTCCTTTGACCTCTTCAGGAGGTCCACGAACCCCCTTAAGTTATAAGCAAAAGTTTGTGGCCATTTACCCGGTCAGATGGTCCATAGCTGTAGATTCTCAAAGGAGCTGGAACCAAAACTCAGGTTGCCCCATGCCCGAGACGGCGCAAGAGTATAAATCCCACATCCATTAACCCCATCTTCCTTCTCAGAGAAACCAGACAAATAGAGTGTGGTTCTTCCTAGACTTCATTTACATTTATTCAAACCATGACTTGAGACATCTCCCAAATGCTTTAACTCTTGACCTTCAGTCATTCATTCATTTAATAAATATCTATTGATCACTAATTGTGGGTCATATATTTGTCATAGGGACACTTTTCTCAGCATTGAAAGATAGCAATTGTCAAGGCAATTTCATAGAAGCATAAACAAGATCATTTCAGGTTGTGGTACTAAACAAAATGTCAGGATGTGATAGGAAGTGTCAAGGGTGATGAGCCCAGTAGACAGGTGGTTAGGGAGGGTGTCTTTGAGGAGACAGTTGCGTTTGAGCTGAGACATGGGAAGATACCAGCTATAGAAGAGCAAGGGAGAGGGTGGGCAGCACAAGAAAAAGGAATAGAAAGTTACAGGCAGAAATGAGTTTGGAGAATTCGAGAAAATGAAAAGTCAATGTGGCTGCCTCAAAAAGACACACTCAGATTGCCCTTCCCTGGCTCTTCACAATACTGTCTCCTTCTCCTCCGTACTTCCTTGCTCTGTCCTCCATCACACTCTCTCATGTCACCTTATTTATTTCCTTCAAAGCTCTTGTAACTTTTTATTGTCTGTGAGCTCCATGAGAACAGAGACTGTGTCCCCCTTATAGTATCCCCAGCACCTAAAATAGTAACTGGCCTGGCGTGGACACTAAATAAATATTTGTTGATTGCATGAATCTACACATCACAATACTAGGAACTGTGGTTGACTGGGAGATACAACAGATAACAAGATGAAGATGCTTCCTCCTTTGTGAACCTTAAATGCTTGTGGAATAATTTAATTACAAACTATGTGGGCCAACTAATTGCGTGCAGAATTGAATGATTTAGACTGTAAGTGCTGTGGGGAAACATTGAAGGATTCCCTTGGTAATGTCTTCATTCTTTCAATTATATTTAGTTCAATTTCACAATATTGAATGCCTACTCTATGCCAAACACTGTTGTTTATAACAATGAACAAGACAGACACCAACTTTGCCTACAGAACTTACAGTCTACTACTGTACTACTGCTCCACTACAGTTGCCTCTCATCATTTATGGCTATCGACCACTGAATGTGTAGCTGGTCCTAAATGGAATGTGGAGTAAGTGTAGACTCCAAATTTCAAAGACCTAGTGTAAAACAAGAATGTAGAATATCTCATTAGTATTTTTAAATTGATTTCATATTGAAATGATAATGCTTCAGATATATTATGTTAAATAAGATATATTATTAAAACTCATTTCACCTGTTTTTTTCTTTTTTTAAATCTGGCTGCTAGAAAGTGTTAAATTACATATGCACCTTGTATTATATTGCTAGTGGACTGTGCTGGTCTAGTGGGAGCTTAATGCTATTTGAATAAACAAGTGAAATCTCATTACAGATGTTAAAATAGACATTTTGGTAGAGGCATGATAAATAGCAAATTTCAAATAAAGAACATAGATGAAGAATTTAGAAGTAAAACAAGTTAGGCAACTCTTAAATCTTCCGCACACTGAGTGTATAAAAGAGTCAGGAGAAGGCCGGGTGCAGTGGCTCACGCCTGTAATCCGAACACTTTGGGAGGCTGAGGCGGGTGGATCACCTAAGGTCAGGAGTTCAAGACCAGCCTGGCCAACATGATGAAACCCCATTTCTACTAAAAATATAAAAAATTAGCTGGGCATGGTGGCGGCGGGGGGGGGGGGGGGGTGCCTGTAATCCCAGCTACTTCAGCTACTTGGGAGGATGAGGCAGGAGAATAGCTTGAATCCAGGAGGCGGAGGTTGCAGTGAGCCAAGATCACGCCATTGCACTCCATCCTGGGTGACAAGAGCGAAACACCGTCTCAAAAAAAAGGGGGGGAGGGGCCAGGAGTGGGGGATTTAAGAGGATTTCTAAAGAAGATCTTCATGAAGGATTTCTTCAAAAAGAGCTGAGCTGTGAGTCCCACCTCCAAATCTCCAGTCAAAAGAAAAGGGCTTTGAGGAAGCCACTGGGTGTTTAATATGTGGCATCTACAGTTCAGAGGGCACAGTGGGCTTGTGTCTGAATCCTACCTGGAAATGCTAAAAAGGGCAAGAGATATGCTCACTAGTCAGCAGTCAGCAGTGCAAAGAAGAACTGCTTGGTTAGGAACAACCCTCCTTCTTCCCCTAGGATTTACAGATAAAAGATGTGTGAGTGCTTTCTATGAAGGAGATGAAGTTCATTCAAGAGAGATTGTACAGGGTCATTTTAGACCCTTTCCATCTCTTAGATAGAGGTTTCAGAAAAGGAAAACTGAGTGCTATGGTTTGAAAGTGTCCCCTCCAAATTCATGTGTTGAAATTCAATGGCCAATGTGATACTATTAACAGGTGAAGCCTTAAAGAGGTGATTAGGTCATGAGGGCTCCTCCCGCATGTATGGGATTAATGACCTTATAAAAGGGCTTGATGGAGGGAGTTCATGCCTCTTACTCTTCTGCCTTCTGCCATGTGAAGACACAGTGTTCCTCCCCTCTAGAGGATGCAGCATTCAAGGTGCCATCTTGGAAGCAGAGACTGCCCACTCACCAAACAACAAACCTGTTGTTGCCTTGATCTTGGACTTCCCAGCCTCCAGAACCATGAAAAATAAATTTCTGTTCTTTATAAATCACCCAGTCTTGGGTATTTTGTTACACCAGCACAAACTGACTAACATACTGAGGGTATCGCTAGTTACCCAGGGGTCAAGAAAAAGGAAAGAACCAGCCAAAAGAAAGATGTCCCAGTAAGAGAACTGCAGGATATGGATTTCCAGCAACGAGGGTAAGTTATCTTGAAAGACTCTTGAAAATGCCCCACCAGAGGATGTATCAGCTTAATCACAGCAGTATCAGACAAGTAAAAACTTTCTTATTGTCCTTTCCTCTCCTCCACCCGTGCCCCAATGCCAGAGAGGCCAGGAAAGAGTTCTCCAGCTGAGGGTACAGGTGTAGAGATGTCAATGAACCCACAAAAAGGCAACAAAAAGGAGAGAAGAAGGTGGCTATGCTTCCATTCTCCAACTGTAGGTCTCTTGTCTGCAGCAGGCCTAAAATAAAATAGGAGAGAAGCTGCAACTTTTTAACAGTTTTGATTATCACCTTAGACAGAACATTTGAGCAATTGTATTGAGGCTGTGTTTTAACACCTACAAAGGTCCATAAAAGTCTCAGCATCTAACTGAGTTTACCCACAGGCAGGGAAATAATTGGCCACACAGAGGAAATTTAAAGAGAGACTAGAAGACAATTATTAAGTTGCTTTATGACTGCCACCCACAAGTCATGCTTGTTTGGCTCAAGGGCTTCCTAAAAATACAAAATAGGCTATAAATAAAGACAGAAACATGTATTCATCTTGAAGTATACAGAACAGTAGAATATGTATAAAGTTAAATATTAAAGTGCATATTATTTCAGGGAGGAATATGGATTATCTAAAGTCACATAGCACCTGCACCTCAGACCTAAGACCAGTGTTTAATCTCCCATCCCCAAGGGGTTAGGGGTGCTGAGGCTGCAAAAACCAGTGGCCAGCAGCTATGGGGCTGCTCCTCTGAGGCTGTTCACAGCAACTCCCCAATGATAGAAGGCTGGTATGTTCTTAGTGCCAATAGACAGGCAGACAGGCATGCAGCCTTCCCAGGAAAAGCAACACAAAAACAAAAAAGCCACTCAGCTAGAAATGGATAGCCCACTGAAGGTTAATTATACTATTAGAAAGTAAATCAGATTTGAAAATCTTTTTTTGTTGTTAACTTACATTTCCCCTAAATTAAAGAGGCTAACTGAAAGGATGAAGACTTCTCCATTCTTAATGAGAGATGTCTGACTCCTAAGGAACAACATACTTGGATTGAGTTGGAGAGATGAGGCCAGTGCTTTGTCTTTTCTAAGGTGTGAGCAGATAATTGAGTCAATGAGCAGTGAAAACTGAACTACTTCAGACTTCAGAATGGTAAAGGAAGCTGGTTATGCTGAGGGCCCCAAGCCTCTGACTTACCCAGGCAGAGGACGGTCCTGGGCAAGAACATGGGTGGCAGATATCAAGAAATCATAGACTCATCATTGTAAAACACCTTAGAGATCAACGTGTATAAAACTCTTAGAACATAGTAATTGTTCAATACATGTGCAGTAATTTTTCTGACTATTAGGAGATAACTCAAATTCTGCCACTTACTGCCTGTGTAGAGTTTGCTACTTAACCTCCCTGTGTTGCAGTTCCCACTTCTGCAAAACAGGGGCAACTACCATATACGGTTCTTGAAGATTAAATAAGATGATAACGGCTGGGCATGGTGGCTCACACCTGTAATCCTAGCACTTTGGGAGGCTGAGGCGGGCAGATGGCTTGAGCTCAGGGGTTCAAGACCAGCCTGGGAAACATGGCAAAACTCCATCTCTACAAAAAAATACAAAGATTAGCCGGGTGTGGTGGTGCATACCTATAGTCCCAGCTACTTGGGAGGCTTAGGTGGAAGGATTGCTTGAGCCCAGGCGGTAGAAGTTTCAGTGAGCCAAGATCACGCCACTGCACTCCAGCCTGGGCAACACAGCCAGACCCTGCCTCAATCAATCAATAAGATAACACAAACCAAAGTCTTAATAAATGAAAGCTGTCATTATTATTAATAATCATTATTCTTCAGTCCAGTCTTCTATCTCTTTGACATCACCCCAAATAGTCACTCAACTTCTGTTAAAACTTCTGCTCTTAATTCTTTTATTTATTAAGCAAGCATTGAAAGAGAACCTGCTAAGCACTAGACCCTGTGTTAGGTACTGAGAATACCAAGATGAACAAGACACAGCCCCTGAACTCAAGGGCCTCCTGGTCTTTTTTTAGGATGCTTACTTCTTACACTTTCTCAAATCTAAGATCAAGCACCAGGCTGCTCCATTGTTGAACCACTAAAATTTTTAGAAACTTCTTCCTAAATTAACTCAGAATGTGACTCCCAATAAAACATCTAATTATTCTTATATAGGATGGTCTTTCAAGTTCAAAAACTATCCATCACAGCCCTTTGTTTTTTTGGGTAAACTTCCTAAGCATCTTCAGCAGCTTCTCATGTGATATGATTTCTGGCAATATTATGTCTAGAAACAACTTCTGTTTTGTGTAAAACAAAAAAAAAAATTTGCTCATCCTCTTTTTGTGAGTAGCCACTATCAGAATTTTCTGTTAATGTTTGTGTGGCATTAATTACAGTCTTAAGAAGACTGAAGGTTTACCAACTTCCCTACTCGTCCAGCTGTTCTATTTTGTCTTAGTCAAGTTGTTATAAATTACAGAAACCCACTCAAACCAGCAAATAGAAAAATTTGCTGAAAAATTCAAGTAAATTGTGGAACCTGAAAATGGCTGGGCTTCCTGAGAGACTCATACTAAGAACTAGAAAGTTAAACAGAAACAAAGCAGAGCCTGTCTCTTGGTCTCTCTTTGCTCTCATATGTCCCTTTATTCTTGCTTCTCTCTCCACATCACTTTTCTCCTTCACCTTAGACCTGTGTTTCTCTACTTCTCTACCTAAATCTTGCGAAATAGTCATCCCAGTCCCCCACATATCTGTCTTCTCACATGCATCTCTAAGTATAGTGGATTGAACAGTGGCCCCAAGAAAGATGTCTACAGCCTGATACCAAGACTGAATGTTCCTTTATTCAGAAAATGGGTCTTTGCAGATGTAATTAAGATAAGGATCTTGAGATGAGGTCACTCTGAATTACTTACTTTGTGGGCCCTAAATCCAATGACTTTGTAAGAGACAGAATAGGAGAAGACAAAAACATAATAAGGACGAAGCATTGTGATCACAGAGTCAGAGATTGGAGCAGTGCAGCCACAGAAGCCAAGGAACACCAACAGCCAGAAGAAGCTGGAAGAGGCAAGGAAGTGACGCAGGGCAGGCAAGCCCAAAACTGGGGCTTAGCCCAGGAGGGTTCTTGGCTTCACCCAGGAAAGAATTCAAGGGTAAGGAAGTGGTGTTAGACAGCAACTTTCACTGAAGTAGCAGTGTTCAGCAAAGGTACTGCTCCTTGCAGAGCAGGACTACCCCATAGGCAGTGTGGCCAGAGTAGCAGCTCCAGGGCAGTTCTGCAGTCATAGTTATACCCACTGTAAATTATATGCAAATTAAGGGCCAGGTTATGCAAAAATTTCTAGAAAAAGGGTGGTAACTTCAGATCATTGGTTTGTTGCCATGGAAAGGGGCAGTAACTTACAGGTGTTGCCATGGCAAGGGTAAACTGACATGGCACACTGATGGGCATGTCTTATGGAAAGTTGCTTCTGTGTCCCTGTTTTAGCTAGTCTTCCATTTTTTTCTGGTGTCCAAGCACCACCCCCAGAGTGGAGTCCTGCCTCCAGAGTTGAGTCTGGCCTTCTATCTCAGGAGGGCTTTCCCCTAGAGCTTCCAGAGGGAGTACGGCCATGCTGACACCTAAAGTATGGACTTCTGGCCTCCAGAACTATCAGAGAATAAATTTCTGTTGTTTGAACCACTCAGTCTGTGGTCATTTCCTGAAGCAACCATAGAAAACTCAAACAAGTCTTAACTGCAGATTCTTAGGAGAGAATCTGATTGGTTTAGGCTGACTCAAATGCAACAGATCCCTTGGTCCAATTATCTTCTGCCAGAGAGATGAGTCTCATGAGATTAATATGACTGCCAGGGCCCAGTCCTATGTGGAGGATGGGTGTCATTCTCGAGAAAGTGGAGATGGAGCTAAGAGCTACCTACTACATTGGAGTTGGCCAGTCACCCAGGTCCAAACTCCATTTCCCAAACTTCTTTCCTCCATCTCCATATCCTGTTCATTCAGGATTTTTGGACCAGTTCTCCCTGCCTCCAACTTTTCACTTGTAAATATTTTTCAAAATTTCCCTTCTTTTTAACTCCTCTGCCACTGCTCTACCTCGCACCAGCATTGTACCTTGCCTTGCTCCCCTGCCAGTTTTCAAACTGCACTGGGCACCTGAGGGTGTACAGTGAACTCAAAGGAGTGTCTCAGGATGTTTTTGATTTTCAAGGGAATCACAGCAACATTTGTCAGACACCATACAAACTACTAACTTGAGGTAGTTCACAGTTTCAAAATTAGGTTATTATATTTCTTCCAATGACATCAAATCTCTTCAAAGCTAGGTTTCTAGCAATGGCTGTGATGAAAGGCAAGTACCCCTAAAAAATCAATGTGGAACAAGAAATGAGAGTGATGGTGTCTGATCAAATTCCAAGGCATGAGACTGTGCAGTGTCCAACAGGCACTAAATTGTTTGTATATAAATTCTTACTAAGCTATTTCTACCTGACTACTTCATAAATGGAACTGTTAGTTCTTTCTTTTGGCCCAGAGATTTTGTGAAACAATTACTAAGACACTAAAAACATTACTCACCTTTTCTTCCTTATTTTATTGAGAGTAGGAGATGAAACTGACTCCCATTTTAAGGGTAAGCCATGTATAACCCATCATTAATGCCCCCTGAGAAAGAAGATTAGCTGGACTCTTCTGAAGAGAATGACTTCCTGAGATCATTTGCTGTGTCACTTAGAAAATACACTTTTTCTTTGCTTCCTCTTGTGGGAACATCTAATATGTTCAAGTCAATTCAAAAAGCACGTATGGAACATTTACTGGGTAGCTTAGAATAAAAAACACGAGACTCAGGGGAAACAGAAGTTGGAGAGTCAGTTCTACTGTCGATTAACCTTATGCCCTGAGGCTAGCTACTTCACCTCTCTGAACTTCAGTTTTTGCAGCTATTAAAGGGTATGTTTAATCATTAAAAGATGTTATTGATGAATCTACTATATGCTCAGGACTCAACAGAGTACTCAATCATTTTCTTTTCATTATCCTAAGGAGACTTTTAAAATATTTTTGTCCTCATTATGTCCCAAATGTTGATACCATGTATACACTATATACCTATTTGTGTGCTGTATTTGTGCTTTATACATGAAAAAGTAATATATACAACTATTATGGAGCCATAATAATTAAATTTTTTTCAGACAGAGTCTCACTCTGTTGCCCAGGCTGGAGTGCAGTGGCATGATCTTGGCTCACTGCAATCTCTGCCTCCTGGGTTCAAGCGATTCTCTAGCCTCAGCCTCCCGAGTAGCTGGGACCACAGAAGCATGCCAACACCCTTGGCTAATTTTTGCATTTTTTGTAGAGACGGGGTTTTGCCATGTTGCCCAGGCTGGCCTCGAACTCCTGAGCTCAAAGTGATCCACCTGCCTTGGCCTTTCAAAGTGCTGGGATTACAGGTGTGAGCCACTGCAGCCAGCCAAAAATTTTAAAAACATTTTTTAAAAAAGAGGAGGATGTTTTTGGCCCCCAAGAACCAACTTTTGCCCCTTTGAGGGTGCTATTGCCCCCGCTGATAACGCACATCCTGAGGAGACAAAGTAGGCAAAATTGCTGTCCTCACAAAGCTTATATTCTAAGGTGAGAAGTTGGATAATAAGTCAAATATCAGAGAGTGAAAAATGCAGTGAAATAGTAAAATAAGGTGCTATGATGCAGAGTGACTGTGGGGTGGAAGCTCAAGGCCTCTCTGAAGTAACCCCAGTGGTAAGGTCTGAATGAGGAGTTAAGGGTCAGCAAGGGGGAGCCTCACAGACCAGGAGCCCCCAGCATAGAGCCTCCTTGCTGAGCAGGAGCTTGAGGAGCGAGGACAGGAAGGCAGAGGCCAGTGGGCGCAAGGTGACACAATCCCCCATGGGGCGTTTTGAAGACTTTGTAAACGACAGACTGCTAAATGAATGGGAGGGGTTATTAGGCACAAGACACTTCTTTTAGGCACAAGACACTTCTTTTAGGCAAGTAGGAGCAGAAAATGACTAAGCTCTGGCCCAGAGGTCAAAAAGAGTTGTCTTTAGAAAACAGCTAAAGAGGTTGAATTCTGGGAGAAGGTGAACACAACCAAAGACATCAGCTATCTAGATATCTAGACAGACCTAGAAGAGAGAGAAATGTTAGAAGTAAAGAAATGATATCCAACACTTCTGAAGTGCTTACTAGATGGGTCTGTGCTAAGAGCTTTATGCTCATGAATCCTCACAACCTCATGGGGTTATTCTCTTCATTTCACAAATGAAGAACTAAGGCTCAGAAAGCATACATGACTTACCTCAAATCACCTAGGTTTTAAGAGGCAGGACTTAGGTCTGTCCGACTCACATCTAATCTCTTAATCAAGATAACACAACCTCCAGTTTCTCCCAACACCGTCTGTTCTTTGTTGCACTCCATCCTTCCACACCCACCCCTCTGCTATCAATGATTTATGTTCATTCAATCCGTAGAACTGGACTTATCCTGCTAGAACATCAGACTCAAGTTCAACAATGAAAAGACTAATTATAATACTCCCACAAGGGCCTAGGAACAGGAGCTATGGGTACCATGTTTAATTACCCAGTCTCTTGCTTACAGAGGGAAAATATATCTTACTTTATGTCCTATTAGTCAATATGGACTATGTCTGGTTGGAAGAAAGTTTAAAAGCAGATTTTATTCCACTTTGGACTTCCTAAAAATGCAAATCTAAGGACTGCCAACAAGAGTATACTGCCAGAGATTAACAGTCAAGAGGACAGCCAGAGAGAAACACTTGTCAAAAGGAGACACCAGACACTTACTGTGTCTGATGTGGCCCTGGGACAAAATGTAAAGAGCAGTAGACACGAACATCCAGGATCCTGGATTGATTCATGCTGTGACTGTGCCATAGGGTTCTGGAACTGGAAGCACCTGGCTGAGAAGACCTAAGGTTAAAAGAGAGTGGAACTAGAAGCTAGGCTGTCAAAAATTCTTCCAATCAAGGATCAGATGTGTACAAATGCAGCAAGAGGATTTGATCTTTCCAACACCCAGGCAAAGGCAAAGTTGTTTTCTGTTAGGAAAATACTTGATACTGTAGTACATACAATTAGAGATGCACTATCTTTTTTCCCCCCAGAATTATATAAGCTTCAAACCCTCCAAAATCTGAATTAGCCCCTGGATAGAATTTATAATCAAGGGGAGAGGAGGCACACAGACATGCAAATATTAATAGACAATATATTGCAGAATGAATAACATTGTGATAACCCACAAAAACATTCAATAGGCCAGGCGCAGTGACTCTTGTCTGTAATCCCAGCACTTTGGGAGGCTGAGGCGGGTGGATTGCTTGAGGCCAGGGGTTCAAGACCAGCCTGGCCAACATGGCGAAACCCTGTCTCTACAAAAAATACAAAAATTAACCAAGTGTAATTGTGCATGCCTGTAATCCCAGCTTCTTGGGAAGCTGAGGTGCGAGAATTGTTTGAATCTGGGAGGCAGAGGTTGCAGTGAGCCAAGACTGCATCACTGCATTCCAGCCTGGGCGACAGAACAAGACCCTGTCTCAAAAAAATAAAAAATAAAAATCAGTAAACACAAGAGTGGTTAAGAAAGGAAAGACCATGGTTGGCTGGAGTTATCAGGAAGACTTCAGGGGAGGTTGAACTTGAAGTGGCCATTGAGGTGGCCACCAGTAAAATTGTGATTCACTTCCAAAATGTTCTCTGACTGATTCATCAAATATTATATTTGATTTTAGTTTTAGAGCAGATTGTGCCAACTACTGTGAGGCCACTGAAAGCCCTCAGCCCCCTCCATTTATTTACTTGACATCTTCAGTGCTATTCAGCGAGCACTTTCTCCATACCAGGCACTGAGGACTGATGGTGAACAAGTTAGAGCTCACCAGCACAGAGGAAAGAAGGGGTGAGGCTTTCAGATTTGCAGGGAGAGTGTGACATATCTGTAAGCAGCTCATCAGGGCTCACCCATGGTGAAGATGACAATTTCAGATAAAATTTAATCTTACAGACAAGAACAAAAGTCTGGAAAGCAAAAACAAACAAGCAAACAAAAAACATTAAGCACTGCACAAAGGGGAAATGAGTGATGGGCTACTGCTTTGAGTCTAGAGGGAAGTGGTTGAGACATATCTGCTTCACTTTTCTTTTTCTGGAAAACTGAGGAAGGATTTGTGAAATGCCCAGACAAGATGACCTAGACGAGAAGAAGGAAATGTTTGAGCCTATGTAAGAATATTCCTCTGATAATTACGGTATCCCTGTTACAGAAATAGAGAGGAAGATGCGAGAACTCGTTCCTTCATTCATGTGAGCAAACATCCCCAGATACTGGGCATTCAAGGCCATATCAGATATGCCACATACCTGTGTGGGCACAGAGAGGAAAATCCTCAGTTATGTATTATCCAGCTAGACTAGATCTGAAGGGGGACAGTCTCTATAATAGCACCTTGGCCACACTTCCTGAGAAATTCATCCTTATTTCCATCCCATTTATAGCTGTCATCATAAAGTAGGTCATCCTTACAACTCACTTTGGGAAGTAATGCAGGGCAAGTGAGGTTAGTTCCAGTTTAAAGGTGGAGAAACAGGATCAAGGACTTGACCAAATCCCAGCATTATTTAGTAGGGGAAGACAGAATGGCATTTGCAGTCCACAGGTCCAAAGGCCAGCCTACTCCACATTTTCTTATCTTTAAATAACACTTCACGCCCAGGAAAGCCTCGAGGCCACAGGAGGACTCTAACAGCCTGATTAGTGGAGCTGCTTATAACTTATTGGACACAGCCCTGTCCCACACGAGGCTGAGCACCAGGCCTGTCTTTTAAGTGGAACCCAATGGGAGTCCCAAGACACTTGGTCTTCCCTCATTAACAGAAAAGAGAAATAGTTAAGAAAAGTCACTAGGGAAAGGGTCATCAAGAACTGAGATGAAAAGATGAGCAAAGCACTCTAGAGAAAGATTCATTTCCTGAGTCACTCTCCACAACTGAATTAAAGGGACCAGGCCGCACTGATGGGCAAAGGCAACAGCAAGTGTGGGAGTGTTCTGTTCTGGGAGATTGCACTCACTCCTGCACAAACAGGCACACTGTGGGTTCTGGTCCGTCTTCAGCCTAGAGGAAAAGGAAGAAGAATCACAATACATAATTTCTTTTCTGTGGGCCTTTATGGTTTATGAAAGCACATTTTGAAAAGTTTAAGATTTCTGTAGGTACCTCAAGGGGAAATCCTGGGTTATCAGAGGAATCTTTCATTCATTTATTCATCCAGCCAGTGTTATTTGAATATTTCTGGGTCCAGATGCTGTAAAAGGCACTGAGAATACAAAGATTATTAAGAGATAGGCCCTGCCCCAAAAGCCATGTTGTAATGGAAGGAGTCCTAGACCTTCAAGTCCTGCTCTGCTAGTTACTAACCAAGTCGTTTCAGGCACATCACTTGTCCTCTCTGAATATTAGTTCTGAAGTCTATGAAATAAGTCTAATCATACCTGCCTTTCCCATTCCAAAATGTTTGTAAGTTCGAGGGAGGTCATGGACATGAAGGCATTTTATAAATTACAAAGTTCCCACCTGGCAATCTTGCCCTGTGCCGACAGAGGGATGCATGGCTGTCTGCAGATTCATTATCCAGATGTGGTGACAATCATGTGGGGGCCAGAAATTGGCTGACACGGAGTCAGTGATCTTTCATAAATGGACTGGGATGGATATTAGGAGGAAACAAGAAAGTCAAACTTAAAAGCACCCCATTACCCTTATCCTCCCATTAAGACCAAGCCTGAGGCTTTGATGAGTCGTCAGGCCTCTGGCCTCATTAGAAAAGCAGATGGATATATCAGAGGGGTTAATGGCAGCCAGTGATGACCGTGATCTGATTTAGTCCTAGCTCTTGACCCTCCAGAGATGATGATGACTTTGAAAACTGAAGGACTGACTTTTGGTGGGGAATGAACAAGGCAAAATCTAAAATTATGTTACGATTTAAAAAAAAAAAGAAAAAGAACTCCCCCATACAGGAATAGAACCAAAAAAAAGGAGAAACAAAAATTAAAACAGAATAATAGCAATGTTGCAGACTGTTTGTTAAATATTGCCTATCTGCACTAAGAAAAGTAGTCATGCCGCAAATAAAACAGCAAAAAAAAAAAAAAGAAAGAAAGAAAAAAAAAGCATTTCAAAATATTCTTAGTGGTTCCATTAATGAGGGCAAAATTGAAGTCTAGTGGAAGAACACAGTGGCTGATGTGTGTGTGTGTGTGTGCACGCGCACGCACACCCATGCTCATGCATACCTCTTGAGAGCCGAGGTAAAGATGAGGACACAAACCTAAATCCACATAAAGTGGAATACAGGCCATGTTTTTCTGTGTGTTCTTCGTCTTTCTGACCAATTTGGTCTATATCAATGTCTGCACCCTGCCACAAAACCCTTAATAAACAGTCTTAACTTACGCTACTGGCAACTGTAACTGCCAGAGTTATCAAGAGCCATGGAAGACTGAAACCTTCTCTACCATGAATAAATGGGACTCCCAAAGAGGGTGACAATACCAGTGGTTTGGTTACAGCTGCTGCTTGTATCAGATGATCCATAGATGTTTTCCCACCCCAGAATAACAGTTTTTGTTCCTCTCTGAGGAATGAGTTTGGTTATTAGCTCAGGAAATGAAACAGTTTCCAAATCAGTGGTGACTATTTCTGCACAGTCTCTGCCTTTTCCCATAGCACAGCTTCATTGAGCTGGTAAGAGCTCAGTCTTCATAAATATGTAAAGACAGCATTCATCTTCCTGATTAATTAATCCAGTAACTGATCCAAGCTCTTGCCTATGAGTGCTCTTGGACCCATGGCTCCTATTCTCTCCACTCTGGTTTCCCCACCTGGGTCAGCCCTTCTCTTCATCTATTGTTGGGTAGCGTATAACAAAAGGGGTCCCTGGTCTAGACTGTTCCCACGTTCTCCAGCAGGCTGCCTATGAGAATTTCACAAATTCCTCATGCACTTTTAAATTTTAATAACGAAGATTGTGGATTTATGTGAATAGCGACAGATGGAATCTGAAAGCCAATTAATTTTGTCATTAAAGTATAATATAGGACAGCCGTATTACACAATCAAGCATGATGAATTATTTTTACATCCTGTGACATAGACAACTGGCTATCCCATGAAAGAAGGAATTCAATTTGCATTTAAATGCCATTCCCAGAATGTGACAGAGGCTCTCTGCATTATATAAGTTTCAAGAAGCTGAGGTTTGGCCAATTAATTTTAAGAAGTGTTTGTGATTGAAGTGCAAAAATGAATGGAGAAGTCAATACCTCAATGAAGGATCTTGTGAATGGCCCTCAGCCAGGGGAACCAGCCGCGCTGTGCAGGGGATTCCTGACCCACAGCAACCAGGAGATAAAAGGTGCTCTTGTTTTAAGCCACTAAAAAAGAAAAAATGAGTTGGGATCTTGTTGAACATCCACACACACACTTCTGGGCAAGTATATTTTCTCCTTACCATCTTCTCAGCTTTTCTAAACTTGATACAAACGATGCAGCAAGTGGGCAGGGTGTGTTCACCACCCTTTGGGCCATGGGTACCTGGAGAGAGATATGCATCCCCAGTGAGGTCTACACATTGTACACGCATGTGCATGTATGCACACACACAAATATACACATAGTTTCATTAACTCTTCTGGAGAAAACAATTTAAGAAAATGCCAACTTCTTTTTCAGCTAATTAAATGCCTATAGCCCATTAATTATAGATTAAGGGAACTAGTGTTTACCACAAAGTCATCTGGAGCTAGCATCTGAAGAGGTTGAATTCCATACTGAGAAGTTGGAACATTATTCTGTATGTGACAGAAAACCATTCTAAGATTTATGAAGATGGAGTTGGTATTAAACCACTAGTAAGTTGAAACTACTAAGAAGAATAAAATGGAGAGGTAGGGAAGTGGAACCTGGCAAACCAGTTGGGGCTATGGTAATCATTTACGGAAAAAATAATACGGGGTTAACCAGAGGCAGTATGGATAAGAGAAGGGGGGAATATGGAAGCTCTGGGGCAATGGCTTCTTAGAAATTGACTAGGTGGATGGAGGATGGAGAAGAAAGAGTAGATGCAATTTCTAGCCTTCATGACTGTGTGTGTGATGAGGCCATTAATAGAAACAGCAACTATAGGAGGAAACACAGGTTTGAGGAAGAGGGAAAAACGATCATACTCTCACTTTTTAAACAATTTACTTACTCCTTTGATATGATGGGATGACAATACTACTTTACCTCTATGATCTTCCTCCCCCAAACCCATAACCCCAGTTTAATTATGTGAAAAACAACAGAAACAGTCCAATAGAGGGGCACCCTATAATACCCTTGACCAGAACCCCTTAAAATTGTCAAGGTCAGCAAGAAAAGTCTGAGAAACTGTCAGATGAGAGAGGAGCCAAAGGGGACAGGATGGCTGAATGCAATGTGGGACCCTGGAGGGGATCCTTGAATAGAGAAGGTCAGATATTAAGTAAAAACTAAGGAAATCTGAATACATTGTAAACTTTAATTAATAATAATGCATCAGTATTGGTTCATTAATTGCAACAAATGTATCATAGTAATGTAAAATGTTAATACTAGGAGAAACTGGAGAGTGGGGTTTGGGGAGAACCTATGAGAACTCTGTAAAAACCCCCTTATAAAGAGGGGTGGGAGGCTTGCTTACTAAAGTTTTGTTTGTTTGGTTAGTTGATATTTTTTTCTTTTTGGGGACAAAGTCTTGCTCTGTTGCCCAGGCTGGAGTGCAGTGGCACCATCACAGCTCACTGCAGCCTTGATCTCCCAGGGACAAGTCATCCTCCCGCCTCGGCCTCCTGAGTTGCTGGGACTACAGGTGCATGCCACCACGTCTGAATAATTTTAACATTTTTCTGTGGCGATGTGGTCTCACTGTGTTTCCCGGGTTGGCCTCAACTGGTCCTCCTGCCTTGTCCTCCCAGACTGCTGGGATTATACATGTGAGCCCCCATTCCCAGCCATTTTAAAAACTTTTGTGGCCGGGCGTGGTGGCTCATGCCTGTAATCCCAGCACTTTGGGAGGCCGAAGTGGGTGGATCACGAGGTCAGGAGTTCAAGACCAGCCTGGCCAAGATGGTGAAACCCTGTCTCTACTAAAAATACAAAAATTAGCTGGGCATGGTGGTATGCGCCTGTAATCCCAGCTATTCGGGAGGCTGAGGCAGAGAATTGCTTGAACCCAGGAGGCGGAGGTTGCAGTGAGCCAAGATCGCGCCTCTGCACTCCAGCCTGGGGTACAGAGCAAGACTCCATCTAAAAACAAACAAACAAACAAAAAACACCTTTTGATATCAGTAACCCATCATGGGAGTTGGGGGACACCGATTAAATAAGCTCTTGTTCCCCATGTGCAATTACTCCATTACAGATTAGACCACATCACTGATAACGACCACCTACCTGGATGAGAAAGCTGAGATGGCCGAAAGCAACTCGTTGCCTTGCGTAAAAGCTACAGTTTCTTGTACTGATGTTGAAATGGCCAGAAGGGGCATGTATGAGTGACGTAGTCATGTGACTGTGGAGGGGAAAGCCAGCCTGAGAAGGACATGTTTTTTTCAATGGCCGAGTTGGAGCTGCAAAGGTACTATGAATTCATACTTCAAAACTGTGCCTTTGAGTTTGTTTGCTTGTTTGTTCTCTGTGTGTATGTGTGTGTGTGTGTGTGTGTGTGTGTGTAGATGAGGTCTCACTATGTTGCCCAGGCTGGTCTCAAACCCTGGGGCTCAAGCAATCTTCCTGCCTTAGCCTCCCAAAGTGTTGGGATTACAGACAGGCATGAGCCACTGCACCCTGTGTGCGTGGCAGGGGGAGGGGGTGAGTGGCTGGGTGGGCGTGTGATTGCTGGGCCTTTGGATTTCATCCAGCAAACACTCACCTCCTGGGCAAGCTGGGTACTGTTAGATATTAGGGATATGAGGATAAATGTGTGAATGCGCCATGTCTGCTGCCCATAAGGAGCTCACAGTCTACTCTACAGACAGGATGGCGAATAATTACAGTACATTGCTAGAGCCAGGATGTTCTGTGTTAAAAAGAAAAAGAGTGTTTTGGAAGTGCTAAGACAGGAACAATGAACTCTACCCAGGAGGGTGGTGAGAGAAGGCAACACCAAAGAAAAAGCTTGTGAACTGGGCCTCCAAAAATAAGTAGGTTCTTGCCACGTTGAGTGGGAAAGGTACTGTAGGCAGATGATTCAACATTTGCAAAACACAACGACATTCAACAGCATCATGTGCTTGGGTAAGTGGCAGCTGGAGCATCCGGCAAGGGATTCACAACCTGGGAGCTGTGAGAAAGGTCTGTTAGGGAGAAGAAGGGCTGAAATCAGGGAGACCAGGTAGGAGGCTACTGTCATAATTAAGGCTGGAGAGGATGAAGCTCTACAATCATGGGATAATGTTAAAAGATGCCCTCACTCCTACCTTCTCATTTCTCCACCAACACATTCAAGCCAAACAAACTTGAGTCCCCAAAGGTCTCTGCTCTTGGCAATGCAGGAAGGCCTAGCATCTGTTTCTTGAGCAGCAGAAGCCAGACGTTGGTAGGGCCCAGGCTTCTTATTCGAGAGCCCCAAGGTACAGGCCCGTGCCCATTCCAGAGCTCACTGGGGAATTCCACGCACATGCCCACCATATGCTAGGTAACTTTTTCTCTCCAGTACAAGTCCTCTCTGTTCTGCCTGCTAGAAGGGGCCCTTTCTAGCAGGCAGAACTGCTAGAAAGCAGCTTTTCCAGGAGCACTTCGACATAGCTTCCAATTTTGAAGCTGAGAAGCTGTAGAGAGGACTGATTAACAGTCTTTTTTGTTTCCAAGAAGACATAGACAGCGCCATGGACATGCCCGTTTCCTCTTCTCTTGAAAACAGTGAAGAAAACCTATGGCAGAGAGTTTGCTCAGAAGCCAGGTGGCCTCATGAAACCTCAAGGGTTTAGCCTCAAATCTCCATTGTTGTTGTCAAGGGACAGCTCGAGGAACTCAAGCCCTGTGATCTGGTACGATGGTTCCTGTTGGCACTGTGGCCCCATGGCTTTGCTGTCCTATTGGTGCTGCGAAGAGCCAGGTAGCGGGATGGGGAAGGCTTACTTTGAATCCTGGCTCTATCACACACTAGATGCAGAGAGGTAGCTAAGGTCATACAACCTCAGATGACTGACTTTACCTCTCTGCATCTGTTTTCCCTTTTGTAGAAATGGGCATGTTGACAGAACCCACTGCAAAGGGCTGTTGTGAGGATTAAACCTTATGCTCTAAGTAATGTTAATATACAAAGCCTAACACATGGTAGTCAAAGTTAGCTGATAGATGCCTTTTGCAAAGTCAGCCTGCACTACTTCTACCCCCCACACACATACCAAACACAGGCTGCTTGTATGAGTAGAGGCCTAGGGGGCAGTGGTGCATCCTGGTGAAGGGTTGGAGCTCAATAGCCAGGGTTTGAATCCTAGCTACTGCACTTCCCAGTTTACAAATGAGGAACCCAGAGCCCTCACTACCGTTTTTGCTCATTCCAAACAGCTTAATTTTTTCTGTGCCCTCTTTTGTAGCTCCTATAGTCAGGCCTTCCTATTTCTACCTCTGGGGGACCTGCATGCAAAGCTTAATTCCTTTATGGATTTCTGCAAAATATTCACTCTCACTATGCATTTAATGAAGTAAGCAGCTTCCCTTATCAGTAAAATGGGAGTAATCATAGGAACTGCTTCATAGGGTTACTATAAGGAGTGAGACTCATCCATAGTGTCACGTGTAGTTAGAGTTCATTCATTCTCATTGCTATGTAATAGTTCATGTTACAAATAGACTATGATTTATTTATCCATTCTACTGTTGATGAAGATTGGGACTGTCTCCAGTTTGGAGCTATTACAAATAGAGTGGTGCTATGAAAATTCTTGTACTCATCTTTTGGTGAACATACATTTACAATTTCTGGATCAGAGGTATCAGCTTTAGTGGATACTGCCAGCAAGTTTTCCAAAGTGGTTGTTCCCATTTAAATCCAAACTAGCAGTGTATGAGAATTCAGTTGCTCCACATCTTTACCAACACTTAGTATTTTTCTGATGTTTTCATTTTAGCCATTCTAGTGCATCTGTAGAGCTATCATATTGTGGTTGCAATTCACATTTCCCTGGTGACCAATCAAGTTGAACATCTTTTCATGTGTGGACTAAACACAGTGTTGGCACACAGTTAGCATTCAACAAATGTTAGCTATTATCATTAGTACTGTTGTTCTCTGATCAGTGAAACTCAGCTTTTTCAAATGGGGACATGGGCAGAGACTTGGGGAAGGTTTTCAAATGTTAAACTTTCTTGGCCTACCATTATCATCCATGTGTGCGTTTCCCTATGCCTCCCTCTTCTCCTGGTTTATTTCTCTGTAAATAACACACATCGCCTCTCCCAGAGTGCAGACATGCTGAATAATAGGAAGCGAAAGCCAGGTGAAACTTCTGACCGGCACCCCAAACAGGTTCCCCCGCTTCACAGATGTGTCACCTCCAAGAGAAGCAGAAAGGATCCTCCCCCAGAAACCTCCTGGAATCTCATCTATCTGGCCCCACTCCCTCTAGCTTCTTCCTGATGAATGGCTTTGACAACTTTCTCATTATTAGGGCCTCTTATCCAAGTCTGACTTGAATCTTTAATGCCTTCTGTTAGGAAAGATGCATCACTTGATTTTTAGGATGCACACACAATTCCCCTTGCAGAGCCAGTATCCTGAGGGGTTTGTTAATGCATCAAACCATGGACCTCTGAGGAAAATTCCTTGTCCCCAAAACAAGAAGACAGTTAAGCTGTACCCTCAGTTTAGCTCCCACTGGTAAACTCCATGAGAAAAGAAAATAACCAGCATTGTGTAATTGGGGGTGGAGTTACATCTTACACAATCTTTGTGAAAGGGAGAAAAGGAAGCCAGCTTAATAATTCCCAAACTAGGTCAAAAATTTATATCCATGTGTATATAAAATAGTCTTCATTATCTTATGTAATAAACATGATTTTATTATCTCAGTCACTGGGTTAAGAATTCCTTTTAGTGAGACCCAACTTTGTTGGGAAGACTTCTTGGTATAATCTCCTCATGAAATAAAACATGAGGACCCCTGCTACCAGGGACCTTGCGGGGCAGGAATACTCCAGATAAGATAGAGAACAAATTTCCTGATTGCAACAAAGATTGAAGGGAGGAGAAAGAAAAAGAGGAATAGTGAGAAATGGAATGGATGATTAAAGGCTGTTCAGTGGAATCTGCGACCCCCTTAAGTCTCCTAGAAAGCTGCTTACTTCGTTAAATGCAGAGTGAGAGTGAATCCTTTGCAAAAACCCATGAAGGAATTCAGCTTTGCATGCAGGTCCCCCAGAGGTAGAATTTAAGAAAGCCTGAATATGGGAGCCACAAAGAAGGGGGCAGAAAAAAATTAAGCTGTTCAGAATGAGCGAAAATAGTGGTGAGGGCTCTGGCTTCAGATAAGCTCAGGGTGACCAACTTGTCACAGTTTGTCCAGGATTTTTCCAGTGTTAGCCTTGAGAGTCTCACAACTCAGGAAACCCCTCTGTCCCAGGCAGATTTTAGCCAGAATGTACAATTGAAGGTTTGAGTTTTATCTAAATTTCTTAGGACCAAGGACGTCCAGTTGATAACTGAATTATAATTAAAATGGCACCTAGACTGTTCAACTTTTGGTTTCTGGGTTTGACAACGTTCGACACACGAACATATATACAGAAACACAAATACCAAAAGTATATGCTCAGATGCTAAGTGCGTCATGACAAGTGAAATCCCCCTCCTGGTCCAGAATTTCAGTTTCACCACAGTTTACTTAAGAGTTTTCTTTCCTTTGTGCATTGAGAAGGAGCCATGGCTTTGCCAGCTCCTGTCCAAACCCCCCAACTCAGCAGCCTTTCCATGGAAAGACATTCCTTCTGACCTTGATTCTTTTGAGAGAGAAAGAATAAATAGCAAGAGGCAGGCCAGGCACAATGGTTCACGCCTGTATTGCCAGGACTTTGGGAGGCCGAGGCAGGCAGATCATTTGGGGTCAGGAGTTCAAGACCAGCCTGGCCAACATGGCGAAATCCTGTCCCTGCTAAAAATACAAAATTAGCCGGCCTGGTGGTACGCACCTGTAATCCCAGCTACTCAGGAGGCTGAAGCACGAGAATCACTTGAACCTGAGAGGTGGAGGTTGCAGTGAGTCAAGATTGGGCAACTGCACTCCATCCTGGGCGATAGAGCAAGACTCTGTCTCAAAAAATAAAAAAAGTAAAAAATTGCAAGAGGCTCCTTTCCCAGACTCATTACCTCCCTTCCATTTTTCTCCCTCTGCCATTCTTCCCCTACCTCATTTGCATGCAATGTGGAAGAACTGATCTAGGGAAGATTTGTGTGCTTTCAAGATACTGGGTCCACTGAGATCAGCTACAATTAAATTATGTCTTCAATATGTTTAACTCAGACTCTGGATTTTTGTAGTCCTAGAAACCAGTAGAAATAAATTTATTAAGAATGTGATCTCATCACTAAACATTCACTCAGCCCATTGACTCCCAAATTAGAGGACACATTTCAGGGATTGGGTCAGAATTCTATTTTCAGTTAGAATAAGGGGTTAGAATAAGGCAGTATAACCTAGGTGTGCTTTACAGAAAGACATGCCTGGATTTCAGTTCACACCTGGCAGTATGGGCTTGGGCGTATTCCCTATCAATGAGGTATATGATTGAAAGGAATCAAGGATTCAGGCCTGAAGAATTAAGTAACCCACTGAGATGGTGAAGGCTATAGGTAGAGCAGGTTGAGGATGAAAGATCAAAAGTTCAGCATAGGATATGTTAAGGAGAGAGTCCTAAGCTGAAAATAGAAGTTTGGGAGTCACTGATATATCAGTGGTATTCAAAGCTATGACCAGATGAGATCACTAAGGAAGTGACAGCAGAGAGAGAAATGTCTGTATGGCCATGGCTGTGCTACCTAGGATGAAGTTTGCTGGCCAATAGTCCCTCCATAGCCTCTCTACCTACGTTCAATGGATCCATCACAGCAGAAGGCTCAGTGCACGTTCATGGGGAGGCAGTAGGTACAGGACAAGGAATCTCAGGTTTGGAGACAGAAGAGGGCCTGGAGGGCCAGACACGGTGGTTATGCCTGTAATCCCAGCGCTTTGGGAGGCCAAGGCAGGCAGATCACTTGAGGTCAGGAATTCAAGACCAGCCTGGCCAACATGACAAAGCCCCATCTCTACCAAAAAAAAAAAAAAAAAACAAATATATATATATATATACATATAGATATATACATGTATATATATGTATATATGTATATATATACATATGTATATATATGTATATATGTATATATACATATGTGTATATATGTATATATGTATATATGTATATATGTATATATACATATGTATATATGTGTGTATATATACATATGTATATATGTGTATATATATATACATATGTATATATATGTGCGTGTGTGTGTATATGTATATATATGTGTATATACACATAAATATATACACATATATATATACACACATATATATGTATAAATTAGCCAGGCGTGGTAGCGTGTGCCTGTAATCCCAACTACTCAGGAGACTGAGGCATAAGAATTGCTTGAACCCAGGAGGTGGAGGCTGCAGTAAGCAGAGATTGAGCCACTGTGCTCCAGCCTGGGCAACAGAGTGAGACTCTGCCTCAAAAAAAAAAAAAAAAGAAAAAAAAGAAAAAATGGAGAAGAGGGCCTGGAGCTTAGCTCAGCTCTGCTGCTTCTGGGCTCTGGGCTATGTTATTTTGGGAAAATCACTTAATCTCAGTGAGCTTCAATTTCTTCACCTGTAAATTGGAGATAACATTGCCTCCCTCAATGACTGCTCGTTCGGACAGCTATAACAAAATACCATGGACTGCGCAGCTTACACAACAAACATCTATTTTTCATAGTCATGGAGGTTGGGAAGTCCAAGACCAAAGTTACAGCAGGTTTGGTGTCTGGTGGGGGCCCACTTCTTGGTTCATAGATGTCCATCTTCTCACTGGGGTGAGGGAACTCTCTGAGGTTTCTTTCACAAGGGCATTAATCCCATTTATAAGGCTCCACTCTCATAACTTAATCACCTTCCAAAGGACCCTCCTCCTAATACCACTCCTAATACCACCATCTCAACCTATTAATTTGGGGGGTGAGTGGGACACAAACATTCAGTCCGTAACACTCCCTTACAGAATACCTGTCAGTGTTAAATAAATTGAACAAAAATACTTTGTAAAATACCTTACACTTTACACTTCAGTTATCACTTATCCCATATAATTTCTGATAATTTCAGGGAGAAAATGCTTTAGTGATTAGATATAAAGTTTAGGACATTATCTACCAATGTTTAAAATTCCTATACCATACCCTTCGACGCAGCCATTCCAACTCTCCTACAGATACAGTTGTACATGTATAAAGATAAATGTGCTAGACATTGGTAATAATAATGAGAAATTGGAAACAATATGTATCAGCAATGGACTGAGTAAATAAGCCATATATATGCACACTGTGGAATACCAGCTGTTAAACGTAATGAGAAAATGTACGTATACTGACATGAAAAGATGCCCAGGATATTTATTTAAAGTAATAATAAGCAAGTTGCAGGTGTATATATGGCATGATCCCATTTCTATGTATTTATATTACACATTTTGATACATGCATACCAAAAAGACCGAAGGCCATGCATGACACTGGAGAACAGTCACTAGGGTCTCTATGCGTGTCACTTACCTCTGGGGAAAGTGACTGGTGTTGCAGAGAATTACTTTCACTTCCTCCTTTATATGCTTAGGAATTCTTTGAATTTGTGTAACAAACAAAATACATTTAAAGACATACCACAAACCAATCCCTGAGCCCTGAGATTCTTAAGAGGATGGGGGCACCAGGAACATAAATCATACTGCCAGGCCAGAAAACAATGTCTCTGTTGGGTTCCCAACTATATTTCAATTCTGCAAGCCACAGCTGTGCTTCCCACCAACCCAGGCGCTAACACAACAGCAGCAGTCCAGAAAGGGGAAAACATAGGCCCTAGAGTAGGGCCACTTTGGGTAGGAAAAAAAAGTGCAAATGTATTCTGAAAGCAGATGGTGTCTGGAAGAGAAAGTGTGTTTGGCAACAAGAAGGGAATCACAGGGGAAGGAGAGAAAAGCAGTAAAAGAGAGACAGCCAAAGGAGGTGGTAATTAAGTGCAAAGCTGAAGATTTCCAAGGGATTTTTCAGCATTGGCAAGAGTCGGGCCTCTGGACAATTCTGTGGAAGTGTGTAGAGATTGTTTTTCATTTCTTTTCTTTATTAAAAGTATTCCACTAGAACAGTGCCTCTGAACCATGATATTCTGACAAGAGTTTGTTAGCAATGCTCCAAGTATTAAAGTTTTCCAATAATTTACTTTTCTTTATAAAGAGGAGCTGAGGTTGGCTGTCTCCTTGCTGCCATTCTAATATGCTTCCTAGGGTGGGAGACAAAGCCACAGCCAGCCAGGGTTGAGCGAGTTGTGTACAACCCACACACTATTTGTCTCGCCACCTCCTGACACTGTCACTCTTCTCCGGGCTCTGGAGCTTCCTGTGGGGTCACTGTCTGTAACAGACAAGAGTCACACCCTTCTCAACCCTTTTACAGCATTAACCAAGGCACAAGCGTCTGAACTGTCCAATAACAAAGAGATTAATTGATGGATTGTTTTGTACCAAACTGCTTGCTGCCACAGCTGCTCAAAATGTTAATAAGCACTGCTGAACTATGGCCGCTCCAGCAGGGAACAGCTGTAGAGGCTAGAGGCCAGCTCCCCTGCCCAGTGAGGGACAGATGTCCTTATGTCTATATCGGCCCCTGTGCTCAAACCAGCAACAGTTCACAGACAGGATTATGAAAGGTTTTGCATTTGGTCCTAAGTAATCTTTTAATGTCACATAACCTGAACCAAAGCCAAGAATACATTATGACAGTACAAATTATCAACTCTATCTTTGAGATAAGATGTATATTATGCACTAAACTCAAGGTCAGGAGACAAGTCTTCTACTCCAGACATATCAAAGCCTTTCTGGGTCTTATAAAATGGGGCTTGTGATTCAAGTTTACTTTCAACAGGAAGCTTTTGGTTTAAATGAGTTCAAACATTGCATGTAAAGCGCTGAGACTTCAGATACTTGTAAAATAAGCTCAAGTTTAATCTCACATTATATATATATATAACGTATAATAAGCTCAAGTTTAATCTCACATTTTATATCTATACATACAATATGTGTGTATGTATGTGTGTGTGTATATATATAGATATGGAATAATAAATTAGATAGTCCTTTCTATATTCCACCTGTATCTCACTTACCCCACTTGAAGGTAGAGTTCACTTGTAAATATGTCAGCTGCCTCTCTCAGATAAGGACTTCTTTTTTTTTTAACATGACTACAATGACTTTGTCACGTATAACAAAATTAACAAGTCCTTGATATCATCTAATTCTCAGTTCATATAAACTTCCCCCAACTCTCTCAAAATGTGTTTTTACAACTGGTTCATTTGAACCAGAATACACACAAGGTTCACTCATTGCATTACATACACACACACTCACACACACTCATACACACTTACATATTTTTCTCTAGTTCTATCCACTAGGAGTGTAAAAGGGGCTGGGAGCAATAATGCCCTAACGGTAATGACACCTGATCTTGGTTTCTAAATACTATTCTTTACTAAAAGGAATCAGAAGTCCTTGGAGAAATGTCTGTTTCAAGAGTTGGAGTAAAGAGAACACCAGATATGCCTGAACATGCTGAGCCAGAAAGCAAGGATGCACTCATGCACTCAAAGAAAGATGGGGTGTGCCAAGTGGACACAGAAGCCAGATTGATGGAGGGCTGACATTTCTAATCTGAGAAATGTGAGCATCAAAATCAATGATGATAGTAACAAATTATCTACAACTCATTGAATAAAATGAGAATCCAGGAGTCCAACTGATATAAATAAATGAATAAAATGAATGTTTGACGAGGAACAGGATATTTAAATATTTTCAAAGTATCTCCTCATAAAATACTTGTTAGTTACAAAGAGAAGAGAAACTTCACAGTGAAGAAGGCTGACAGGCACTGCCTTAATCAAGTGATCAAAGTGAACCTCATCAGAGATGGGACACACCAAAACAATGTTTCATGGGATAATAAGATGCAAAAGGAACAACACAGCTTCAGTTCTGTGATATTCCTTCCAAAACTGCACGACCTGAATCTCATCACAAGGAAGCATCAAACAAATCCAAGTTGAAGGACAGTCTACAAAGTAACTGACCTGTAATCATCAAAAGTGCCAAGGTCATGAAAGTCAGAGATTAAGAAACTATTCCAGAATGAAAAAGACTAAAGAAACTTAGGAAATAAATGCACCACATGATTGCAAGAAAAGGATCCTTTTGCTACAAAGGATGTTATTGGAACAACTGGCTTAACAGTGTTAAATTTCCTAATTTTACTGATTGGACCATGGTTATCTAAGAGTGTCCTTGTTTGTAGGAAATGCACACTGAAGTGTTCAGGAGTGATGGGCATCAGGTTGGTAACTGACTCTCAAATGGCCCAGGAGGAAAAAAGTAGTTTCTTATGCTCTACCCTGACATCTTCAGTAACTTTCAAAATCAGAAAAAGAAAAAATAAAAATACAAATACAAAGAATAACTTGCCTCATCAGCTATTTTTCCCTGAATAGAGTTCATATAGAAAAAAACAGAATAAATTCTTGATTCTGAACCTTCATTAATTTCCAGAGTAATGAGTTGGTACCATAGAAATTTAGAATGACAGTTTTCTAACGTATCATAATGAGCTCAGATATTTTTATGTTTGATATGCTTCAGTCAATTGCAGTGATTATTCTTTTTGATTCTCGTAATTGTTCCTGTTCCATTCACCACAACTCTGGCAGTCAATGGTTTTCTTCCTTCCTGAACATAACAAAAGGTTCCAGGTTCATCATTTACATTTCCTACACCAAACCTGGAATCAATTTTTAGACCTTGAATTCAGAGGAGAATTCCTTCCCTTTTAAATGAACGTAATTAATTCCTCTTTAAAAAAATAGATGGGCATGTTGGCTCACACCTGTAGTCTCAGCTACTCTGGGAGGATTGCTTGAGCCCAGAAGTTCAAGGTCAGCCTGGTAAACAAAGCAATAGGGAGAAAAAAATTCAGAACACTGCATTTTCTCAACTCCCTTGAAATTTGTTCCTTTTTTTCCCCTCAAATGTCTGGCTAGTTTTGGACTCCTTCCAAGAGGAATGGCACACAGAAAAGAGCTTACTCCAAGTCAGACTCTGTGGGCATGACAACCACCTGCTTCTTAGTGTAAGGAGAAGCTGGTAGAGGAGGACTAATCTAATCCTTTTATTAACTCCCTTGAATCAGAAATGACAGACAGTGATTAAATTTTGTAACTTTTCTCATTGCAAGCACTGAGAGACGGATCAGTGGGTTGACTTGTTTGTTTTATTTCTTCAGTAAAAAACCTGTACAAGTAGTAAGCAGGTCAATTTTCAGAAGCCTCTCATCCTAAAACGAGAGCTGGCCAGTGTTGCATTGTTCATCCCAGCCTCCCAGTGATCAAGTGAGGTCTTCATTATTTTGATGGAAGGAAGGAGAAAACAAAATCCACTCACTGATGCTAGAGAGAATTCATTCACTCATTCACGCACCCATTTAATTGAGAATCCACTACGCGCTGTTCTTAGTACTGAGGATATGCAGCGAACACAAAGAATAAACTCCTTCCTCTGTGGAGTTTACTTTCTAATGGAGGAAATAGACCATAGCAAGATAGATAAGTAAATTATAAAGTGCAGGAAAAACAAAGCATAAAAGGGCAATGTAAGAGAGATACAATTTTAAATAAAAGGTTTCGGGGTGGCTCCCACTAAAAAGGCGACATTTGAACAAACACTTGGAGGAGGTGACAGAGTAAGCCATGTGGTTTTTTAGAGGCAGAGAGTTCCAGGCAGAGGAAACAGCTTGTGTGAAGATCTTGACGTGTGAAAGTGCTTTGAATATTTGTGAAATTGTAAGGAAGCTGCTGTGGCTGGATGGCTCGTGCAAGGTGAAGAGAGAAGGCCAAAGACAGAATGTGAGGGCTGGGGACACAAAGCACCTAGCGCCTTGTAGGCCATTTTAAGGACTTGGACTTTTGCTCCAAGTGACATGGAAATTTGTCTCTGGTTTTTGAACAGAGGAATGACTTTACCCAACTTATTTTTCAATGAGATCACTTTGGCTGCTGTGTTGGGTATAGAATGAAAGGGAGCAAGACAGACACAAAGACACCATTAGAAAGCTATTGTAATGGTCTATGGGAGGTGATGGTTGCTAAGAAAGGGCAATAGCAGTGAAGGAGGTGAAAAGTTGTCACACTATCAATAACTTTTAAAAGTAGAGCCAACAGGATTTGCTGAAAGACTAGATACAGGAGCAAAAGGAAGAGAGGAGTCAAGGGTAATCCTTATCGAGTTTTGGCCTGAGCAATTTGAAGGGCAGAGGTTCCATCCACTGACATGGTGAAGAATGTGAGAAGAGCAGGTTTTGGGGAGGTTGCTCAAGAGCTCAGTTTTGGACAAGGTAGGTTAGAGATGTCTACCAAACAGCCAAATGGAGATGCCAAGTAGGTGATTGAATATACAGTTCTGGAGTTCAGGAGAATGGTCTAGTCTGGAGACATATATTTGGCCATTGTTGTAGGCAGAACAATGTCCTCCCAAAAGATGTTCATGGGCCAATCCTCAGAACCTGTGAATATATTTCCTTACACGGCAACAAAAGGACTTTGCCAATGTGATTAAAGGATGGACCTTGAGATGGGTGATTATCCTGGATTCTCTGGGCAGGCCCAGTGGAATCAAATGGGTCCTTACAAGCAGATAACTCTTCCTGCTGTGGCCAAAGAAGGCTCCAAGAGATAAGATTTTGTGGGCTTTGAAAATAAAGGAAGGTAGCCACAAGCTCAGAAATGCAGGAAGCATCTGGAAGCTGAAAAAGGCAAGGAAACAAATTCTTCCCTAGAACCTCTAGAAAGGAAGGCAGCCCCACTGACAGGTTGATTTCAGCCCAGTGAGACCCATGTCAGACATCTGACCTAAAAACTGTAAGGTGAATTCATGTTGTTTTAAGCTGCTATAGAAAATTAATGCCAACATCATCAATATAGAGATGATATTTAAATCCATAAGAGACAGAAGGGAGACGATGTCTTGGGACTGAGCCTTGGGGTATTTGAATGTTAAGTCGGGGAAATGAGGACCCAACAGAGATGACTGAGAAGCAGTGGACACAAGATAGGAGGCAAACAGGAGAAAATGGTGCTCTAGAGGTCAAGACAACAATCTGTGTCACATGCTGCTACATGGTTAAGTAAGATGGGGATCAAATTAGGAAACAAGACAGAACAGGGAGAGCATATGTGCTCAGGCCAGCTGCTATAGAGAAGGAAGAATGTGGACCCTGGTACTTACTACAGGAGAGACAGGCAGGGTGCAGTGGCTCATACCTATAATCCCAGCACTCTGGAAGGCTGAGATCATGGGAGGATCACCTGAGTCCAGGAGTTCAAAACCAGCCTGGGCAACACAGTAAGACCCTCATCTTTACAAAAAATACAAAAATTAGCTGGGAGTGGTGGCACACACCTGTAATCTCAGCTACTCATGAGGCTGAGATGAGATGATTGCTTGAGCCTGGAGGTTGAGGCTGCAATGAGCTGTGATTGCACCACTGCACACCAGCCTGAGCAATGGAGGGAGACCTTGTCTCAAAACAAAACTAAACAAAGCAAAAACTTACAGAAGAAACACATGAATGGCACCCACTCAGAGTGCAGACTTTTTCATACAGAGGGACTCTGGTCACTAGGAAACTTGGCCCAACTAGAATACTGGAATATTTCCAATCATATTGGCACTCCTTCCCTTTGGGGAGGGAGGGTATGAAAGTCAGCAGTACAGAGGAAAGAAGAGGAAAGAGGAACAGAATGAAATTTCAACTTTCTTTTACATTATTGCCTTTCCTTTTACCACCCAACATAGTCTTAGCCCTCCAAGGCCATTACTTGTTAAATAGCACATTCCCTAACCCCAGGGCAGTTAAAATAATAGCTCAAGACCAGAATATCGTTTTCTCTTAAAGAAAATATGACCAGCCGGGCACGGTGGCTCACGCCTATAATCCCAGCACTTTGGGAGGCCGAGGCGGGTGAATCACGAGGTCAGGAGTTCAAGACCAGCCTGGCCAAGATGGCGAAACCCTGTCTCTACTAAAAATACAAAAATTAGCCCAGCATGGTGGCAGGCTCCTGTAATCCCAGCTACTGGGGAGGCTGAGGCAGAGAATTGCTTGAACCCGGGAGGTGGAGGTTGCAGTGAGCCGAGATTGTGCCACTGCACTCCAGCCTGGGCGACAGAGCAAGATTCTGTTAAAAAAAAAAAAAGAAAAAGAAAAAAGGAAAAGAAAATATGACCTCATCAAAATTAAAATACACAACCTTCCAGTACCTGGCATTTTATATCAACCATAGCTTCAGACAATGTTTTGTTTTGCCTTCCTTCACCTCAAAACTCAAGAGTTAGCTGATCATCTCTAAGAGACTGATTGAAGTCAGGTGAGGAGAACCCTTGTGACTTCAGACAAATATAGCCCTTATCACACTGTCTCATACTGAGCTGTAGTTATTTGTATACTTGTTCATCTTCTTCACCAGACTTGAAGTCCTCTGAGAGGGGAGACTGTGCCCTTTCATCACTGAATTACAAGAACAATAATTCCTGAACTTCCCATTCATTGAACTTGTCATACAAGTCAGACATGGTGCTAATTGCTTTCAGGCATTTAATTGTCAGGCAACTCTGTGAGATGGGCATTATTTATTCCATTTTGCAGGAAGGTTAAGAAATTTACATAATAGTCATATTAAATTGGAGACTGACAGAGCAGTCCAATGCCCAAATCTGTGCTGAATGATGGCCCCACAAAGATGTCCACATCCTCGTTCCTGGAACCCATGAACGCTACTTAATATGGAAAATTGGACTTTGCAGATGTGATTAAATTAAGGATTTTTGAGATGGGAAGTTTATTCTGGATTATCCAACTTGGCTCAATGTAATCACAGGGGTCCTACTGAGAGGGAGGCAGGAAGTCAGGTTGAGTAAGAGGAGATGCGAAGAGAGAAGCAAAAGTTGAAGGGATGATGAAGGAGCCATGAGCCAAGGAATGCAGATGGTCTCAAGAAGCCGCAAAAGACCAGGAAACAGATTCTTCCCTAGAACCTCCAGAAAGGAACAGAAACAGCCCTGCTAACATCTTGATTTTGGATTTCCGGACTTCAGAACAGTAAGATAAGAAATTTGTGTTGTTTTAAGCCACTGAGTTCATGGGAATTTGTTACAGCATCCATAGGAAACAGACGCAGTGCTCTTTGCCTCTGTCATTCTGTGATCCTTACACCCCAGGACCTGAGGCAGTGCCGGATATGCAGAGCACTCCATGAATGTTTGCTAAGTGAACTGCTGAAGGAGGAGGAGATTCTCCTCTAAGCCTTCTCCTGCCTGGCACAACCTAAACTCCTGACCAAGAGAATCCAGCCTACCCCAGAAAGAGGCAGGAAGGAGCAGCCCAGGTAAATCTGAGTTGATATGTCTTTTCCTTATTGCTAAGTTGGATGGATGAGCTAATTATAGTCTGAACCATGTTTTGTGTCAGTCATTGCACCCCTGGAAGACATGACAAAATATAAACCTAATTTACAGCTGTGATTTAGAGCTCTAGGGCTGGAGGTAGGTCAAAGAAAGAGAATTATCTATTTTTATATCAACAACTTAGGACATTTTTTCCATTTTCTACAGCACTGCATTAAGCATCACAAATGATCCAGTTGAAATTATAAGCAGTGTTAGTAAAAAGATGAGCAGAGATCATATTTCACAATCGAATTCCTTTATAAAAGTATTTCATGGCAAATTGGAGAAACAAATACACACATATATATGTAATGCAAATAACTACCTTCTCCTTTCTCTGAAACCATCCTTGCCTGTCCTTTAAACAAGGAAGGTAATATTTTCTATGTCAATATTCATAAGGGTAAAGTTTTCCAAATTAATAAAATCAATATGTCAGAGGCATTCAAGCCAGAGCGACTCCATCTTGAATAGGGGCTGGGTAAAATGAGGCTGAGACCTGCTGGGCTGTATTCCCAGGAGGTGAGGCATTCTTAGGCACAGGATGAGACTGGGGATTGGCACAAGATGCAGGTCACAAAGACCTCACTGATAAAACAAGATGTGGTAAAGAAGCCGGCCAAAACCCACCAAAATCAAGAGGGGGACAAAAGTGACCTCTGGCTATCCTCACTGCTTATTTTATGTTAATTATAATGCATCAGCATGCTAAAAGACACTCCCACCAGCACCATGACAGTTTACAAATGCCATGGCAACATTGGGAAGTTACCCTATATGGTCTAAAATGGGAAGAATCCTCAGTTCTGGGAATCCCCGCCCCTTTCTTGGAAAACTCATGAATAATCCACCCCTTATTTAGCATATGATCAAGAAATAAACATAAAAATGCCAACCCGCTTTTTATGGAGCAGCCATTCTTTTGCTTACTTCCCTAATAAACTTGCTTTCACTTTACTCTATGGACTCCCCCAGAACTCTTTATTGCAAAAGATCCAAGAACCCTTTCTTGGGAGTCTAGATTGGGACTGCTTTCCAGTAAGAAATACACCCCATAGCTTAGGGGCTTAAGAAATGAAGCTGCTTTGGAAACCTGAAAATTATTTAGATTTCACAAATGGCTCATGATGCCACGGAGAGTTATTTCCCTTTTGGCATCCTGGTTTCTCTAGTCAGTGAAAATCCTACACTTACAAAGTAGAAAGTTCAAAACAGTTTCTGATCTTTTAAACACACGTACTATATAAGCACAAAGATAGTTACAACCCCAACTAAAAACAATCATTTAGAACTGAATCTCAAATTCATATGTTTGTAGTTCATAATCTATCTGTAGTTGACCAAGAAGGTAAAATAAATTATTGGGTAGATGTAAGCTAAGATCAGTCATTGCCCTTAGTCTAGAACTTCTGATTAGATTGGTAACTCCCATGGCACTCCCCCAAGGCTCTAAGTGGTCCTGAGTAGCTTTAGAATCTGAATAAATCACACATACTAGGGATCCATCGAGACCACTAGAAACTCAATTTATTTGTGACCTGAGGCAGGATTTTATTGCTTCTCAGATTAACAGTTAAAAACGTTTTGCTTTTCTGCCTCAGGGGTATTCGTTTGATGTATGAGGCAGGGAGATTATTAAATCTTTGCTACCTTCCAAAGATGTAAATTAAACCACAGCACCTCCTTAGCCACTTTCCCTGTATGAACTGCTTATTTATTAACTTGTCACTCTTGCATGCTCATCAAAACAACCACACCTATGATTAATTATTCCTGTTTATTTAAGGGTGCTTGTCATTCTAACTTTTTGCGGACAGGGTATTTACAAAGTCTCCTGATTTCTTTGCAGAACTGTGGCATGAAGACTTTTAAAGGACTAATCATTTCTATGGATATATTTTAAAAGAACAGTGGCATGAATGTAACTATATCTTGTTCTATTCATTTTAAATAAAGCTGCCCTTCATTTTGGCTTCCCTTGCCTGGTCATGAACATCATATTGGCTGATTTTGTCCATCTGGACATCTCCAAAAGACTTTGAAGAGGTTCGACATTAAATGGTCCAACATAAACTCTAAAGTTATTTTTTCAATTTTGTCACTCACAATTCAATTCAATGTAGACAGTATTTATTTATCTTCTATGTGGCAAGCAGCAAATATGGATTTGTTCATTCATTCCTTCATACAATATTTATTTAATGTATTTTATCTGCCAGTAATGGCAGTAGGCATATTGTTCACTGTTCAAAACAGTGAACAGTCCTTTCCTCCACTGGATTTACAGCCTTGTTACTACCCTTCCCAAGGCATTTGTCTCTACATATTATGAGCAGGAGATAATAAAACGACAATGAGAACCTGGATAAAAGGGAAGAAAAGCACAGTGTTCTCCCTCTGAAGTTTGCACAGAATACACAGTAAATTGAGTCAGGTTTAAGAAGACACCTGCAAGGCTCTTCCCCCATCCTGGTCCAGAGTGGGTCTGCAGGACTGAACTGCATTGAAACTATGGCATTTCACCTCTTTCTGTTCTCCTTGACCTGCCATATCATAGATCATCTGGTTTGCTGAATAATCACTGAACCAAAAAGTTTTCAAATGAATTTTGGAGGCACAGCTGCCTAGCCTCTGCCACAAGAAAAAAATCACCTTACTAGTTTAAATGGTTGAATAATCATCTTATTTTTTTTTTTAAGATATAGGTTCCTGATCATATCCTTGTCTCTCTTTAAAAGTTTTTATTTTCTTGGGAGGCCAAGGGAGGAGGATCACTTGAGGCCAGAAGTTCAAGACCAGCCTGGTCAACATATCAAGATCCCATAACTACGAAATGTAAAAAATTAGCCAGGTATGGCAGTGAACATCTGTAGTCCTAGCTACTCAGGAGGCTAAAGCAGGAGGATCGCATGAGCCCAGGAGTTCAATGCTGCAGTGAGCTGTGATCGTGCCACTGCACTCCAGCCAGGGCGATAGAGTGAGACTTTGTCTCAAAACAAAAAGTTTTATTATGGAAATTGTCAAACAGAAAACAATTAAGATAATAAAATAATGAATCCCCAAATACCTATCACCTAGCTTCAGTGATTATCAAAATTTTGCTGTTCTTGTCTTTACCTACCACCTTTCTCTCTCCCTTCACTTTTCTTTTTGTGTTTGAGTATTTTAAAATAAACCTCTAGCTGGACATGGTGACTCACGCCTGTAATCCCAAAACTTTGGGAGGCTGAGGGGGGTGGATCACCTGAGGTCGGTACTTTGAGACCAGCCTGACCAAAATGAAGAAACCCCGTCTCTATTAAAAATACAAAATTAGCCAGGCGTGGTGGCGCATGCCTGTAATCCCAGCTACTCGGGAGGCTGAGGCAGGAGAATTGCCTGAAGCCAGGAGGCAGAGCTTGCAGTGAGCCAAGATCGCGCCATTGCACTCCAGTCTGGGCAACAAAAGTGAAACTCCGTCTCAAAAAAACAAACAAAAAGAAACCTCTGCTATCACACCATTAAACCTCCAAATCCATTAGAACGTATCTCTAACAAAAAATAAGATTTTAAAAACATAACTATAATATCATTGCAATATCTAACAAAATAATAACATTACTTTAATACCTTGTAATCCCTAGCCCAAGTTCAAATGCTCCTGATTCTCTAAAAAAAAATCCTTTTGGATTGAAATAGGATCCAAACAAGGTCTACACATTAGATTTGGCTGATATGTCTTTCACTTACACCTGTTCTCTCCATGTCCTTTTGAATATCACCAAAATGATCTTCAATATTTGATTTTTATCCAGGATAACTAAATCTGTCCAAACCTAACATATGCTGCTGGTGAAACCTCATTATGTAATATTTTTCAAGGACAAACTACCAAAAGAAAAGGTGATCATACAAGTTATCATGCAAACAGAGAAACTGAGTGAAAAGTGAGTGCTGTTAATAATTATACTGGTGTAAACCAGGACGAACAGTCACCCTATGAATAGAAGATATTAGGGGTAAAAAGGAGGATCAGGTTTCTGGCTTCAACTCTGGAGCTGGGGAGCTGGAAAAGAACTAGAAAGAATACCTCTCCCACCCTTAAAATTAATAAAAAAAATAAGTTGAACGAACTTCAAGTTAACAACTTTTCTTGGATCCATCAAAGAGTTGAAGAAACAACTAGTTTATTTGAAGAAGCACCAACTAGCCCAAAATCAAAGTAAAGAGAAGTGCCTACAGGAAAAGTCAGATGCAAGCATTTGTTTACGTGGGGCAGTTGAACACCCAGAAGAACTGTGAAGAAACTGGTGGAATCTGAGTATTGGCAGGTGACAGAATATGGCCTCAGATACAAAGGGAGTTTACACCACTCACAGGCTTCTCTCTACAGGCCCTAGTGGGTGCTCATAAACAATGATGGCAGCAGTGCTGAGAAGACATGCTTAGGGGAGGGGAGAAGCAGTTGTTGCAGGAAGGGCGTGGATACCTGCCCAGATCCTTCTTCCCTATCTCCCCTGTTAAAACAAAAGCAATACAAGAAAACCCAACAACTTCACCTAGAGTGGGGAATAAGAGCAACAAGCACTATTGCCCTTAGAGCACTCCTGAATACCAACTGCAGCTTTGGGAAGGAAATTGTTAAAAAAAAAAAAAATCCTCCACACCTCAGGGAGGAGCAGGAGTATATGCTGGGCTCAGAACTATCACTGGGGAGAAACAGAAGCATGAAAAAGGTCACACTCCTGAGACCCAGAGACACAGTATCCACTCAACACTGAGGCTTAGTTAGAACGACAGGGAACACTTCCTTCACCTGCCACCACCAGAGCAAGAAGCATCACACAGCAACAGCAGACGACTGCTGAGAGGGCCCAGAGAGAAGCAAGGACATGGAGAGAAACTCTCTGGGGTCACTGCATAAGGAGAAAGTGTAAGGCTAAGGGTAGGCCCAACATTGAGAAAAGTCTATTCAGTGGGTAAACCAGCCCTGCTCCTAATACAACATTTTATTAGAAGAATTTGAAGTCTCTGGTACACTGAGGATAGCCCTATGAACAACAAACCCCCAAAGCCACCTCAACGCCTGTCTAGGTTGATTCACATTCCACACTAAAAATCTAGAAAAAGAGGCCAGGCGCGGTGGCTCACGCCTGTAATCCTAGCACTTTGGGAGGCCAAGGTGGGTGGATAGCCTGAGGTCAGGAGTTCAAGACCAGCCTGGCCAACATAGTGAAACCCTGTCTCTACTAAAAAATATATAAAAAATTAGCTGGGCGTGGTCGTGGGCACCTGTAATCCCAGCTACTAGGGAGGCTGAGGCAGAAGAATCGCTTGAACCTAGGAGGCAACGGTTGCAGTGAGCCAAGATCGTGCCATTTCACTCCAGCCTGGGCAACAAGAGTGAAACTCCATCTCAAAAAAAAAAAATCTAGAAAAGGAAAAAATGTACCCCATTTGCAGGCATAAAAACTATTTACCTCAATCAGTGCTGTCCAGTGTTCAATAAAAAAGTAAATAAAGTACGTGGTATATAAAACAAAAACGAAAATAAAAAGCCCCACAATGCCAAGAGACAAAGCAATCAACGGAACCAGACTCATATATGACACAGATATCGGAACTATTAGATAAGGAATTTAAAATAGCTATGACAAATATATTGAAGTGTCCAGTGAAAGAACTGGACAACATGCATTGTCAGATGGGTAATTTCAGTAGAGATAATGAGAACTGTAAGAAAAAAATCTAATGACGCTGTTAAAAGTGAAAAACGCAGTAAAAGATCAAGACCAAGTGACATCAAGACTGTCACTGACAGGCTCATCAGTAGACTTGACAGTGCTAAGGGGAGAGTTGGTGAACTTGAAATCATCCAACCTGAAAGAGAATAAAGAGTAAAAAATAAAAACAGCACCAAGCATCCAGAAACTATAGGACAATATAAAATGATCTAACAGATGTATAGCTAGAATTCCAGAAGGAAAAAAGAGACAGAAATGAGGTAGCATAAATATAAGAAGGGATAATGCCTGAGAATTTCCAACATTAATGACATACATTGAACTACAGATCCAAAACAACAACCAAGATAAATACCAAGCCAGAGATAGACATATCATATTCAGGTTCTGAAAACACAAAACAAAGTCTTGAAGGAAACCAGCAGGGGTAAAAAAGACACATTAACACAGAGAAATAAACAGCCCATCTTATTAGAAAGCATGCAAGTCGGAAGACAATAGAGTAACATTTTCAAAGGACTAAAAGAAAAAATAGTGTCAATACAGAATTCCCTACCTGGTGAAAATATCTTTCAAAAATAAAGGATAAAAAGACTTTCTTAGAAAAAAAAACTAATTAAATTAACTGTCATCAGTACTAAACCATAAAAATTTTAAAGAATATTCTTCAGAAAAGAGAAATTTGATACCAGATACATACATTTAGATGAAGAAACAAATAATGCTAGACATGGCATAAATAAAAATAACAATTTTGCTTTTATCAGTTTTAATTGCTCTGAAAAGGAACAATTTAAGCAAAAAAAGTGGAACTATATTGTGCCTTGTAGCATACATAGAAGTAACATAGGAGACAAAAATAGCACAAAGAATGAGACAGACTGATTGGAAACATGAGTATAAGGTCCTCATAGCACACATAGGAGTATAATATTACTTGAGGGTAGACTTTGATTAATGTGTTATATTGTAACTACTAAAAACTTTTTAAGAGCTATAGGTAGTAAGTCAATACTATAGATAAATAGATGAAATAATAAAAACTGCTCACTTAACCCAAAAAAGGCAGAAAAAAATGAAATATAAAGAATTTATAGAAAACAGGTAGCAAGACAGATTTTAATCCAATATCAGTATTCACATTAAATGCAAGCAGTTAAAACATCAATTGAAAGGAAGATTTTCAGATTAGATTAAAAAGGAACCGTATGCTGTCTACAAGAAACCCACTTTAAATATTTTGAAAATGAAAACTAAACACATGAGATGCCGCTAAAACCATGCTTAGAAGAAAATTCATTGCATACAGTGCTTATATTTAAAAAGAAGAAAGATCTCAAATCACTCACCTAAGCTTCGACCTAAGAAACTAGACAAAGAAGAGCAAATAAAATCCAAAACAAGCAGAAAGGAGATTTTAAAATACAGCAGAAATCAATAAAATTGGGACAAAGTACACAAAAATAAATAAAACCAAAACCTGTGTTTTTAAAGAGATCAATAAAGTTGATAAAAACCCTAGCCAGATGGAGAAGGAGGAGGAGGAGGAAGAGGAGGAGGAGGAAGGGAGGGAGGGGGAGAAAGAAAGAGGAAAAAGAAAGAGACAGAGAGAGAGAAAGGAAGGAAGGAAGGAAAGAAAGAGGGAGGGAGGGAGGGACGGAAAGAAAGGAAAGAAAGGGAGGGAGGGAGGAAGGAAGGAAGGAAAAAAAGGAAGGAAGGAAGGAGAAAAAGGAGAAGGAGAAAACTGAAATTACGAATTTCAGGAGTTAAAAAGAGGATGTCACTACAGATGCCACAGATATTAATAAGATAAAAGAATAGTATGAAAGACTCAATGCCCATAAATGTAAAAACTTGCATGATATGGAGCAATTCCCTGAATGATATCAACTACCAAAACTCACTTAACAAGTCAACCAGGACAGTTGTATATCGATTAAAGAAATGAAATTTGTAGTTAAAAACCTTCTAACAAACAGAAATTCCAGTCCCAGATGGTTTCACTAGAGAATTATACCAAACACTTAAGAAAGAAAAATCAATTCTACAGAATTTTTTCCAGAAAAATAGAAGAAAAGAGAACACTTCCCAGAAAATAGAAGAAAAGAGAACACTTCCCAAAGCATTTTATGAGGCCAGCATTACTCTGATGCCAAAACCAGACATTACAAGAAAAGAAAACTGCAGACCAATATTTATTATGAACATAGATATCAAAATTCTCCAAGAAATTTATCAAATCAAATCCAGAAATATATGAAAGAGATAAGCCAAGTGGAGTTTATCCCAGGAATACAAAGCAGATTCAACATTCAAAAATTAGCCAATACAGCTGGGTGCAGTGGCCTCACGCTTGTAATCCCAGTGCTTTGGGAAGCCAACAGGGAGGATGGTTTGAGCCCAGGAGTTCAAGACCAGCCTGGACAACATAGTGAGACCCTCATCTCTACCAAAAAAAAGGTTGTTTTTTAATCAGCCAATATAATTCACCATCTTAACAGTCTAAAGAAGAAAAACCACATGGTCACCTCTACAGTTACAGAAAAGGCATTTGACAAAATTCAACATCCATTCATGTGTTTTCTTTTAATCTCAACAAAATAGGAATAGAAGGAAACTTTCTTAATAGGATGAAGGACTTTTACTGAAAAACCCTACATCTAATACCATAATTATAAAAGACCATTTCTTCCTAAGATTAGGACTAAGGCAAGGAAGTACTGCCTCACAGCACTCCTACTCAACATCATAGTGGAAGTCCTAGCTAGAGCAAAAAGGCAAGAAAATGAAATAAAAAGCAGAGAGAGTGGAATAGAAGAAATAATAAGTACACAAATAAACGACTCAAACTAAGAAAAACAAAACCAGATTCTGTGTTACAGAATGGTGATGGTTGGGGAAGGTGAATGGGGCTAGGGCTTAGGTGATCTGTGAAAGTCTTTCTGAGAAGATGATATTTGAGATGAAATTTTAAGGATAGAGTAAAGCCAGCCATGAAAAAAAAATTACACACACACACAATGAATTTGTATGTTATGATCTATCCAGGATTTCTCACATCCTAAACTTACAGCTTCAGAACTCACTCCTCACTGCCTCTCTCTAAGTTCTCCAATTGCAAAAGACTCTGATCAGCTGAAATCATCTTTTGGTCTTACATTCCAGAGAGCTGACCAAACTTGGTCCAATCAACTGATAAGGGAGAGGGTGGGCTGGAAGGTAAGAAGGTCACAAGGTTTAAGCAACAGGAATTAGGCAGGCAAATCTTAAAAGGTGATGGGGAGCAGTTTAGCAATTATTGACACTTCTCTGCAGGAACAAAATTAATAAGCCTCTATCCTTATGTAAAAACTAATTGACCAATAAATTCCAAATATTGAAAATTGATAAATCCAGATGAAGGATGTAAGACAGTCATTGTACAATTCTTGCATGTTTTCTGTAGGTTTCAAATTTTTCAAAAAATAAAGTTGGAGGGAAAAAAACCTGCATATCTTGAATTATACATTCTTGAATACATGTTACAGATGACATAATTTGGAACTCTTTGTGAGTCAAAGCAATTTTAAACAAAATACAAAGATTAGAAAACAACTTACCTGTATACTATTGCATTCCTGGTCTTTGAAATCCTAGTTAAAATTCCTCTGCTAACTATCAGAGTCTCCAAAATTCACCCCCTTAATTGCAGAGTTTACAGAAAAAAAAAAAAAGTCTTTAACATTATCTGCCATTTCAATAGGACAAGGACAGAAATAATATTTAAGTAAGCAAAGTACAGTGTAACTCTGGAAGTCTAGTTAATGGAACCTTGGAAATTAAAAAGCATAATTACTTGCCCCTTATTCTGCTAATTGATTTAGGAACCAGAAATACAATAATACAGCTATTTCACACAGAGACCTATTTAGCCTGAAATGAACTCCAAGTTTTCTGTACCACCTCAATTTTCATAAGAGATTTAATCAACATTAGCAGAAATATGCATATTCTTAAAACTGACGTGCTTAGGCATTAGTAACTATGTTCAAATACCACAGGTTCTTTGGTGACTAATTCGTGACTACTAGGCCAGGTGTGAACTACATTAATAAAACCACTTTCATTACTGTAATTAAATTTAAGTATAGAGAAGCTAAAAACAAATACTGTTCTAAAATACCTCTGCATTTATAGTGGAGTAGCTTGTATAGGTTTAACTCTCTCTAGCAGATAATAATTATAACTCTGAATGAAATGTTTTTTTGAAAACAGTTATTTGAAGGCACTGGAGAGAGACAGACCAAAAGGTGGCAGAAACTAGAGGGGAGTTGACCTCTAAACTAAGGTAACTAAGATGGAGGAATATTTGTATTTCAAAGGCTTTTTGCTTAAGGATACTCTCTAGTCTGTTCCCCATAGGGAGGCTAAAATGCAAGCAGAAATCTGTAATCCTATGGGCTTACTGAGTCAGATAATACAGTTGAGGTCTCCAATAGTAGCTGAAACGGGGGGAATCCCAATAAGAAGGAGGTTAAAGAAATAGGAGTTCTAAAATCTCTCTATATTTTCTACGCAATCTTTGACCAACCTCTGAACTACAAATACACAGAGAAGACTATGAGGCTGCCAGCAAATGACAACAGCTGGAAAGGCTGAAAAAACTAAGCAGAACTTTCAGGGGCTGCCCAAAACATGTGAGTAGTCTGGAATTTGAGCCAGCCAAGTTAACTGCCCATCAGAACAAAAATCCACACTCTTCAGAGTAATACAAGAGATTCAGAAATTATCACAACATATCACCCACAATGTCTGGTGGCCAAAACAATTACTAGACATATGACGGTACATTGTAATCCACAGTTAAGAGAAAAACCAGTCAATAAAATCTGACCCTAAGAGGACCCAATTGCTAGAATTAGTAGAAAACAAGTTTAAAGTCACTATTATAAGTAGGTTAAAAGACTTAAAGAAAAATATGATCATATGATATGAACATATGGAGGATATCAGCAGAAAAATAGAAACTATAAAAGAGAATCAAATGGGAATCACAGAACTGAAAACTAAAACACCTGAGATGAAAAATTTTCTAGATGGAATTAACAGATTGAAGATGGCAGAAAAAAGAATCAGTAAATCAAGGCTAGTAATGTCATGGAGAAACTTGGCAGACAACATCTTAACCAAGTGATCAAAGTTAACATTACTAACATTGGGAAAAAACCAACATCCTGTGCCTCCTGACATGATGCACTGAAAAGGAAATACTATCAGTTTTATGGGGTTTTGCCAAAAATCTATAACTTGAATCAAAATACGAGGAAACATAAAGCAAATGCAAATTGAGGGCCAATATATAAAATAACTGACCTAAACACTTTGAAAATTCCAAGGCCAAGAAGACAAAGATTGGCTGAGAAATTCTTCCAGATTCAAATAGACTAAACAGACATAAAAACCAATACAATGAATGACCATGGATCAGATCTGGACTAGGGACAGAGGGGCAGAGGAGCTATAAAGAACATTAATTAGACACTTATTGAAATTTGAATATGGACTATGGATTAGATAATAGTACTACATCAATGTTAAATAGTCTGACTTTGATCATTACACTGTGGTTATATAAGAGAATATCCTTGTTTTTAGAAAATGTATACCTAGGTATTTAAGGGGGCAAAATGTCTCCAAGTTACTCTCGAATGGTTCAGATAATAAAATTATATGCACCCACAGAATGATAAATCAAATAGGGAAAAATGTAAACAACTGATGAATCTTGATAGAGGAGACGTGGGAGTTCCTTGTACTATTCTTGCAATTCTTCTGTTCATTTTGAAATTATACTGAACTAAATAAGGTGCCAAACATTACTATACCCTATTGGAAGTCTGACACATGACTACTTGGAGTGTAGATTAGTATACTACTGTGGAAAACTGTTGGTAGTATCTACTAGCCACTTGATAATTTAGCAATTCCACTTCTGGGTATATACCTGTCATGGTCTAAATTGTGTCTGCCAAAAATTTGTATGTTGAAGTGCTAACCCCAGTACCACAGAATGTGACCTTATTTGGAAATAGAGTTGTTGCAAATGTAGATAGCTGGTGTCCTTATGAAAAGGGGGAATTTGAACCCAGAAGCACTTACATAGGGAAAATTCCCTGTGAAAACTGGAGTTACGCTACTGCAAGTCAAAGCTGTCCCAGAAGCTAGGAGAGAAGCCTGGAACAGATCCTTCCCTAGTGCCTTCAGAGTGAGGACAGGCCTGGCTAACATCTTCATCCTGGAGTTCTGGCCACCAAAAATGTGAGATAATAAATTTCTGTTGTTTAAGTCACTTAGTTTGTGGTACTTTGTTATAGCAGCCCCAGATAATTAATCCAATATCCAACAGAAATGCATTCATATGAGCATCAAATGGTATATAGAAGAATGTTTATAGCAGCCCAAACTGAAAATATCCCAAGTATCAAGCAATAGTAGAATAAATAAGTTATATATTTATATAATGGAATCCTATACATGAAACAACATAAATTAATCTCACAAACATAATGAGTGAAAGAAGCCAGACATAGACGAGGTAAAAGAAAAGAGAAGGTTCAGATACTGGTGAGGGAGAGAACCAGGGAAGACATAGCTTTAAAAGCACTATAAAGGTGGCTACACACAGAGGGCATATTTTAAAATCTTTTAAAGTAACACTAAAGGAGAAAGCCCTGAAAATACTGTGCTAGGAAAGCTATCTATTTTGGTCCACTTCCACTATCACACAGGAACCTAAAACTTCCTAAAAGTTCAGGAAAATGCATCTCATTTAAACAAGAGCCATAGAAAATGATTGTAATTAAACATATATATAGTGATATTGCAAGGAAAAGGCAGAAAATGATATGAGAAACATACCCCAAAGGAAGCACACTAAGAAAAGTCACAAGATGTGAACCCGGGAGGCGGAGCTTGCAGTGAGCCGAGATCGCGCCACCACACTCCAGCCTGGGTGACAGCGCGAGACCCCATCTCAAAAAAAAAAAAAAAAAAGTCACAAGATGGATTTAAGTGCTATTAAAGAAGAAAACAGAAGCTCTAAAAGAACAACATAAATTAAAATAGAAAAATACAGTTTACATGATTAGTCAGCAGGAAGATAAAAAAAAATAGAGCTCAGTAATGTTAAATCAAGTTTAGCCTGAAGCTGCCACCTTACATATTTTAAGTTCAGCCTAAAGGTTTCTCTGTACATCATGAACTATAACAAGTGGAGGTATAAACAGATCAGAGCTTACGCTTGTGCCAGTCACCGAGTTTTGGCCAATCAAATGTAGCCAACTGTTTGAACCCTGTTCAAATAAGGCAAATGCCAATCTGTAACCAATCCAGCTGTTTCTGTACCTCACTTCTGTTTTCTGTATATCACTTTCCTTTTTCTATCTATAAATCTTCTTCCACCACATGGCTGCACTGGAGTCTCTAAGCCTACTCTGGCTCAGGAGGCTGCCCAATTCACAAATTGTCTATTGCTGAATTAAATGCCTTTAAATTTAATTCAGCTGAAGTTTTTCTTTCATCAGTAAGGAAAGAAGAAGAAACCAATTACTTCACATATGAATGTTAAACATAAGAGCTAACATACATAATGGAAAACAGTAACAGAAATAGAAAAAGGAAATTAAAAATCAAACAAAAATAAAAAGATAAAAAATAATTTAAGAGAAAGTAATAGATACAGAAGACAGGTGCTAATATACAACATACATTAACAGCAGTCCCTAAACAAGGCAATCAAAGAAATAATGTAATTAAAACAATTAATTATATTAACAGAATTAAAGAGAATATGTTCATATCCACTGATTTAAAAAATGGAAACATTTAAACAAACATTTATGTTTTTTAAAAACTCCAAAAACTAGGAAAACCTCCTTAATAAAAATAGTAAACTAAAAAATCAGCACCTAATGGGGAAACACTAGAGTAACAGTTCTAAAAGTGTGGCCCATGGACCTTTTCAAGAGTCTGTGAGATCAAAAACTATTTTCATGGTAAAACTGAGACAGGAGATCAGCAGGACTTGTGTTCCCAGCACCCAACTCAGCAAAGAAACCAGCGAAAACCAAGATGGTGACTACAGCAACCTCTAGTTGCTCTCATTGCTCATTATATGCTAATTATAATTAATTTGCATGCTAAAAGACACTCCTACCAGTGGCTTGACAGATTACAAATGCCATGGCAACCCCTAGAAGTTACCTTATGTGGTTTAAAAGGGGAGGAATCCTTGGTTCCAGGAACTCCCCAGCTCTTTTCCAGAAAAGTCATGAATAAACTGCCCCTTACGTAGCATATAGTCAAGGAATAGCCATATATACTGCTAGCCAGCAATCCACAGGGCTGCTGCTGCTGTCTGTTGTTCGAATAAACTTGCTTTGGCTTTGCTCTGTTGGTTCACGCATGAATTATTTCCTGTGTGAAGCCAAGAACCCTCCTGGGCTGAGCCCCAATTTTGGGGTTTGCCTGCATTGAAACTAAGACATTATGCATCTTTTCACAATGTCAGTAGTTGCACTGATGGTGCAAAGCAGTGGTGAGCAAAACTGCTGTTGCCTTAGCACAAATCAAGGCAGGGCACCAAACTATACTAGTAGGCATTGTATTCTTCATCATACATGCTCATAATGGGGGTCAGAGGGAGCCATTTTTACTTAAGAATGTCCTTGATGAAGTAGCAAAAAATATTAATTGTATTAAGTCTTGCTCTTAAGAGTACATGACTTTAATAATATTGAAGAAATGGAAAGTTGTGTACACATAAAGCTCTTGCTGCACCCCAAAGTAGAACGAGTGCCTCCAGGAAAAGCATTTGTGTAACTGAGTTGCAAAGTCAAATGGTGCATTTTTCATGAAATACCATTTTTACTGGAAAGAAAAACTGGCAAACGATAGTTATTGAGACGAGTATTTGGCAGATATTTTCTCAAAAATGAATAAAGTGAGCAACGCTTCAAGGAAAACAACTGTCAGTGTTTTTTGACATGATAAAATTTGAGCATTCAAGGAAAAATTAGAATTTTATAAAACATGTGTCCATCACTCTGAGCTTGACAGCTTCCCAATACTTAGATTTGTTTGATGAGATCAGTGGTGATGTTTTAAAATGTAACTTTTTGCATAATGTATAATCAAATGTGTCAACATTTGCATGATCTGCATAACTCAGTGAACCAATATTTTTCAAATGACAAATTCATGGTGTTAAAAAAACCACATATGGGTAAATGATCCATTCAAAGTACAAGACAGATCAATGGATTTTAGTGTAAGAGTCAAAAAAATTCATAATATAGCTTGATTCTTCATTGCAACCAATGTTTAAGAAACTATTACCTGCCAAATTTTGATGTAACATCAAAAAAATCCATAATTACCTTAAAGGTTATTAAAATACTCCTCCCTTTCCCAACTTCATATCTATATGAGGCCATATTTTCTTAAATATTTCAACCAAAACAATGTATTCCGACAGATTGTAGAATCAGATGAGAATCCAGCTGTCTCCTATTATAAAGACAAAAATGATTCACAAGAATGTAAATATCACATTTCTCACTACATTTTGTTTTGAAAGATATTTTTCATAAAAAATTATGACATGCAATAGTTTTATCATTGTTATATTAACATTAATAAAATTTGTCTCAGTTATTAATCTGACATGAATTATATCAACAGATATAACTCTCAAACAAAAGCTCTTTGGGTTCCTTGATAATTATTGAGAGACTAAATTTTGAGGCCCAACATTTTGAGATCCACTGCACTATAGCCACTAAAATCAGGGGGATGTGAGCCCTGGGAAGAAAATATACACAATGAAACAGGTGCATATTATGCCAGAATGTGTGAAAGCTATCAGACTGTTGAATTACATTTTAAAAAATGACACAGGCATCAACATGAAGGAGCCCTTCCCCTACCCACCCAAGCCAAATTTGAGTAATTTGAACATCAAGTAAGAATAGTCATAATTGATTAAAATGTATCCAGTATACAACCAACCATGAGTTCCTAGAGAGTTTAAAAACAACCACAACCACAACAACGAAATCTCATTGGTCACCTTTCAAGGTTGGTAAGACACAAACTTATCTTTCTGAAAATTGATAAAGGTTAAAGAAATTAAACATCTGTCCAGCTTTTCCTAAACTACTTCAGAAAAAAAATAGTTGATGAATTCATCTTCATTAAAGTTCAGTTAATACAGAAGGAACCTGGTTAGGAAAACACTGCTTGCAACCCTTAATAAATAGAGCTAGTATCAATATTCAGTGGATGCTAAACCTATTAAGTGAAAGATAGAAAATTTAATTGATGGATCAGGTTGACAATATCTAAACTGATTAACCTTAATATAACTGAGGGAAGCAGCTAGCCATTTTGTGCTTGTGAAGTGATGAAAAGAAAGTACACACCACCCTCACGAACTATTCTTGCAAAAAGCAATCAATTCTGCAAATCTACCTACCAATCTATGGGAAATCTGTGGCATAGAAATGCAATTAAAAAGTAATCACAAATAACTAATCAGCCAAATTCAGATTATAAAAAAGGTTACAGGATGAATAACCAGTTCTTCAGCCATTTAAATGGCATGGCCAACAAAATGTTGGGGCTGGGCTCGGGGACAGGGACTAAATCGATTAAGAGAGACCTCAGAAACATCAAATAAACAGAAGAAGCCTTATTTGGCTCCTTATCTGAAAGGAAACAACAACAATAAAAAGGTATTTCTGAGACAACCTGGAAAACAGGCATTGGGTGATATTGAAAATGGGTATTAAACATGGACTGGGTATTGGGTGATATTGTTAGGTGTGGTAAATTGCTTAACTGTGAAAGATATGTATTTGTATGTCTGTATGTATTTAGAGGTATGTATTTCATGAATTTAAAATACTCCAAGAAAAAAAGTGGAGGGTGAAACAAGTTCAGTAAAATGCTGATAGTTACGAAAACTGGGTGCAGGTACATGGGGTGAGGGTGGGGGTTGTTACATCATTTTAATTTTGTGTATGTCTGAAGGTTTTCTATAATAAAAACAAAATCAAATAGCATTCTGTAGAAACCTATATTGATGATATAGCATACAAAATAAGTACATATCATATACTTATTCACAATGAGCACGTGCTTGAATTTATAATCCTAAAAAAAAGAAAATGAAAAAAGACATAACAACGTAAGATCACTCAAAGTAATGCTGAATCTGAATGATGCAAGCAAGTTAAGTGCAATAGCTCCACAAAGATTAACATTACTGTAGTTGCAGGCATGTTGTTTACCCTACTAAAAAGAAATCCACTCAAAAATATTTCTGTTTTCAATTTTCCCAGCTATTCTATTATAGATACAGATTTTTGAATCCTGGGATTCAATGGAAACAAAATAGAAACTCTCAAAAGTAGACAGAAAAAACACATCTGTCTTGCCCAGTAAAATAATTTGGTGTTGAAGCACAATCTTAAATAGCAAAAAAATGCAGAAACACATAAAATATGTTTATCAGCAAAGATCAGTATAATATTTCAAGGTAATGAACACAAATAGTTTAAAGAAAAATCTTTACAAACGTTTTCCTTAAATCACAACAATCCAAGCCATAAATTAAAATATGGCCATAATATTAATACTACATGTCCCATAATAAGCTAAACTGATGTGCTGCACTTGGTATGAACACAGAATGATCACACCTAGTTGATATGGCTCTGAAAAGACACAAAGATCAAGATCTCAAAAAATTCAGAGAAATATTATCATGGATACAATTTGTACATGAGTACACAACCTATATGTGAAACAAGCAGATTGGACTAAAATTTTCAGTTGAGTGAAATTAGACCGCTCAGCCACACTATCACCCACAGGCTGGGTTGAGTGAAATTAAATGCTAACTATGCTTAATGACAGATAATTTTTAAATCTTTTCACTAATAATGCACTTTCATGTATCTGTGGTCATAAAGAAGCTTCACCTCCTCCCAAATCATTCCAGTATAAACTTATAGTTATCAAAAATAACTTATTTGCATTTCTGTTTTGGCCAACAAAGAAAAAGCAAATATTAAACAGACAATAAAAGAATAAGGGGGCAGGGGAGAACTCATTATTCAAGGCCTGCAATTTTATATAAACTAAAAAATGCATTAGAGGCTCAAAATAATAACCCATATACATCTATTGAGCATTATTCTTTTAATTACATGTCCTAAAACATACCTACATACTATGAGTTACCATACGTAGTATCAAGCTTTGAGTTTACTTGCTACTTGGCCCATTAGGCCAACCCTAAAAAATGCTTACCATTGAAATGGAAATTCATTTTCCATTTCAATATTGAATTTGAAATATTCATATTTTGTTCCATATTGAAATTTTTGCTTTATATTGAGTTCTGCTCCTAAGATCAGTCCGAAATGTTTTATCCAGCTTTTTTTTTAAAGGTGTGGGAAGCCTATTATAAAATAATTGAGTCTCTCTTTTCAGTGTCAACTATGTAGTAAACAAATTTGCAGCCAAGTCTTGCATATCTGTCCCATCTCGATATAATAATTTGTCATCATTTTAAGAGTATAATACTTACACTAAGTGTATGTTTTGTTCAAATTAAACAGATTACAAAGGAAACAATTTGATGTTTGTTTTTTAATAGATATTACAAATTAAAAATCTCAAAACCTGTGGAAAAAAGTTTTTAAGAACAGTCTACCTTGGTAAAACATGCATACTCTCACCTCTTCCTGTCTTCTTCTACTTTTCCATTCATCTTTTGAATAGCATTTTTCCTCTCCTTTCTCTTAAAGAGAAACTCATATAAATCATTAGTACCTGTCATCTATTAATATATCCAGTTCAATCTGAACCTTCCTCAAGTCATGTCTAACCTCTAAAGCAATTTGAATCCAATGAATCAGATGAGCAATTGATTCCAAAACCCACGTTAAAAAGCAAAATACATTTGAGAATACTTCAGTGTTATATATTCCAGTACAGATTAGTGTCAACAAAACACTAAGCATTCAATACTTATTTGAAGGGCTTAAAGACAGTAATAATGCTAGAATCTGGACCCATGCCTTCAACTTCATTCTTATCAAATAGTTAAAATAAGTAAAAAATAAGCTGCATTATTAGTATATTGAATCCCACTTAGCAAGGCATAAAGACTATTAAGTGCAAAATGGTTTTCCAAGAGTGTTTTTTTTTTTTCCTCCTGGTAATCAACCTTCTGTCAGACTTCCATCATCATACAACTGGAATTGCTTCCATAGAGTCACCAGTAGGAAATCAGATTTCTTTCAAAAATCTACTTCCAGGCCTCCACACACTCCTCTTCCAATCCCCCTTAAGTATTCAATTTCTTTCCTGAAGTAGGCCTTCCATAAGTATTACAGTATTAAGGACTAAATTTTAATGAATGCAAATCAGAGAAAATGAAAGAACATTAACTATCATTCAAAACTCCCTTTAAAAATGTCTGTTTCCAACTTATATTTTTAACTTCTCCCATAATTCCATTTAAAAAAGATGAACACAAAATCTCTCTAGTAATGACTTTATTCATGAATCTATAATGGAATTCAAAATAGCAAAGAACATGAAAATGTTCAGATTAATATTTATTAACCAAATGCATCAGAAAATACATCTATTTTCACATATCAAAAGTGCCTAAAATGCATGTGAGAATATAAATATTCTCCACTTTGTGGAACTTCAAGATAATGAAAAATTGCTTAATACACTTTGCCACAAAAACTCATTACACTGCAAATACAGAAGAAATAAAATAACTCATTACATTGCAGATACAAAAGAAATCAAATGTAACTGGCAAAATAACCATTTCATGGCTAATCTTTTGGTAAAGTGCTATTTTCACACTGAAAAAAAGAAATTAGAAAAGATTAAAAATTTTAAATTCTGAACCATCATTCTGAAAGTCTGAAGCGTTTTCTTTAGTATTCACTATGTTCATCACATTCATGTGTTCCCAACATGAGACTAAACACTATCTCAAAATCTTAAAAAATCTTTCCATTCACAGATTATTTCCTGGAAGTTAAAAATTATTACATCATTGCTAAATGAAGCTTTTCACAATACAGGCGTGTATTAGATACAACAAATAATTTTTCATTGTTCTAAACATGATCTTTGGTTTAAAGCTGTCCCGTTATATTTTTATAGTTGGATGGTGTGGTCAGTAAAAGATTCATACAACAGCATACTAGTTTTATTTGAGCCATGTAAGAAAATAGGGTCAATCACCTAAGGGCAATGAATGGCATGTTATCAAGAATCTGGCGAGATGAATTCCCTGAAATTCATAACTGATGTGTTAACGGAAATCAGTGTTGCTGAACAGTGATTTACTCATTTCCTTTCCTCAATTACCTCTCTCAATTCATTAACAACATTAACCAATGAGAGGAAATTAGTTGGAAAATTCACTAACAGCATTAGCCACTAAGAGGAAATCGGCTGGAAAAAAAAAACTAATCTGAACAAAGGTACACAGATGCAAATCTTAAGCAGATTAAGTAAGACCAACTAAATGGCATAGGTAAGCATGGCTGTGGCCACCCATACACATACACACACCTCATATTTAGAGTGTGAATATCTATCATTGCATAGATTCCACCACGTGGAAGAGCTCTATGCCTGTGGGTGTATATACCCTAGAGATCAGAATGGATGGTTTTCCAGAATTAATGAGACTTTGAATGATGCAAATGTTGGCCTTTCCCCAAAATAAAAGGTTTTTAAATTAATAGAGCAACAGGATGCAAATACTGGGCAAATTATAAGAAATCATAAAGTTGAATCTCAGAAAGCATATGTTCAGTTTTGTAACTGAAGGCTGTTGATAATTTCTTCTCTCTCTCTTTGAATAATGAAATGCAAATGCCTTTTAGCAATGGCAGCATTCAAATCCCACAAAAAATCAAGCAGGGCCCCCTTAAGGAGTACCTCCATTGGCACAAACTGTAAAACCTGCTGGGGTGAGTCAGAGTTGAGCAAAGTGCTCAACAATTCATTCACACTCTGCAAATATCGGAAAACTGGATTTGGAAGGTCCTGATAACCAACACATAGCAGGACTGCGCAGGTCCTCAGGGGATCAGAGGATGTGGGACAAACAAAAGTGATGAATCTAAAACAACTGTGGAGTACAAAGATCAAACCAGCCATAAATCTTGTGAAGCAAGAAAGTACAGGCAAAATCATAACATCTCCTGTATGAAGCTCCCGCAATGAATGTAGAAGGCAGTCCAAAAATAAACGCTGGTAAGTTGGATCTCCATCATGAAGCAATGAACAGCTAAAAGTTTTGAGTTCAGCTGATTCTAGGAGTCGAACTTCCAACGGTATATGCATTTTGATATTACGGAGAGTCGAAAAGCCCACCAGCAGGCACTTTATTTGATTGCTGGGTACTACAACCTGCTCATCCTGAAGGCACTCAGTAAGGCTACACAACTCGGAAAATATCAGTTCTTCAGAAAAAACATGACAAGAACAAGAATACTGCTGTTTTGGCCTAAACTTGGAATCCAAATTAAAAGCTCCTCCTAATGACTTTTCAATTGCTTCATTAAGAGTTTTTAAAATTTCACCATTGCAAAAAGGAGAACATTTTACCTTTGGCAGTTTCTTTCCCTCCAAAATATGCCATAAGTGACACTCAAGATTGGAAGCTGTTCCTTCTAAAATAGAACTCTGCCCAGGATGATATACACCATGTTCTTCAGCCCAACTATTAAAGTATCCTTTGGCTACTTTATCTTTCCATGAAAGGGCTTCTAGCATCTTCCTTTCATTATAAGTTTTAAAATATTTGTTCCTCTGCCCAAACCATTTTGTATTTGTACTACAACCAATACTAGATTTTTTTACTAGCCAATTATTTCTGGAAAGATGTTTCAGTTGAAATTTTTGCATAAAATATTGTATAGCACAATCCCTTAAATTATTCAGCTTTTCTTGTTCCGCCTTTCCCATGCACTCAAATAGACGAATGTTTTCAGAAATAGTCTCTAGCTGATATTTATGAAAGAACACACAACATTCTTCATGTCTCTTAAGAAAAGAATCAGGAATCACATGATGGGGAAAAAGGGCTTTCCTTTTCATTTCAGTCCCAAAATTCAAGGTCATCTTAGATAACAGAGGATGGATGGCCTCTCTCCCCTTATAGTGGAGGCAAACCACATAGACTTCGGAGTTTCCTGCCTTGCTAGTAGCAGGTTTGAAAACATGGACTTGGTCAAAACAACAGTTTAGCAGGTACATCAAGTTTATGGAACAATGTTCAAACATAGTAAACATCTTTAGAACAAAAGAGCCACCGTTTCCAAGAGTGGTCAGAGCAGTGACAACTTCACAGTAATGCAAAGAAGAAACTAAAGCTTCTTGTTCACCTGGGTTTCCTTGGCAATCAAAACTCCCATCTGCAGTGACCAAGTGAACAGTAGCCATGCTGCTTATGAAATTCTGAAGTCCAGTCAAGAATTTCAGGGTCATGATATCACCAGTGTTATCTGGACCAAAGTACCACCAGTGCAAGGTATTTGCAATAAGCCGGTCATCCATAATCATCATGAGGTCGTCATTTGCTTCATGGTATGGATTCAGAGTATTCGCTACCCAACTCCAATGACAAGGAAACCGATGGGATTTTAAGTAGTGGTTGAGACTAGCTATAAAAGCTCCTGGAGCTTCACAAAGGTGTAGAGAATTCAGTTTTCCATTCTGAAAAGCTTCCTGTGGAATAAGTGGAAAGCTGCACAAAATCTCATGGAACTTACACCATGCTTGAGTACAAAGTTCAGCATTCACAGATTTTCTAACATGAGAAATGATTTTCCCCGCTTTATTAGTGAAAGCAGTGTGCTCATGCCACTCATCCAGTTTCTTATCACTCAGTAGGTTTTTTACTTCATTTAGGGAGTTCTTCAAATCAAGAAATGCATTAAATTCAGTGTGGTCACAGGTGAAAATCTCACTGGGATCTGGTAACTGCCACTCATTATTAAGTGGCTTGCCATAAGAAAAGTTCTTGGCAAAGAGTTCAAAAATGTCAGCAAGAATATCTGGGCTGAATGACGCGGGACTTGCTAGCTGCTGAACTGGTGTCTTTCTGCACTTACTCATTTTCAAATCAAATTAAAATCTAGGAAGAGAAAACACATAATTAAATGAATCAAATTTATTAGTGAGCGAAATCTCATGAGCAGCAAATACGATCACACTCATGACAAACTCCATAAAATGGGAAGGCTAAAGTCAGCATACTCTGTTATTTAACCAAGTAATCTGGAATAATGAAAAAGGCTTTGATATCCAAGACCTGGGTTCAAATTCCAGCTCTGCTAATTATGGCTTAATAAGCACCCTTGGGCAAATTCCATCTCTTGGATTTGGTTTCTTCTCATTAAAAAAAAAAGCCTATCATTTTTTAAGAAGAAGATAAAACATACTAGCATATAAAAAACATATAACAAAGCATAATCATCAGTGAATGACAGCTCTGATTATCATAGTAACCCATCTAACTCTTCCCCAAAGTTCTTCCCTACCAATGACTGTGACAACACCTACATGACCTCAAACAAATCCATCCTTAGAGATTCATCCCTGGACATGACCTTTGTTCAAGCTCTAACATGTGACTTTTCGTTTTTTTTTTTTTTAGTTCCCGTCATACTTTACCTCCTTCAGGGAGAGGATCATGTACCTGAACCCAGTACTGATCCTGCCACAAGCCACTTACCTCACTAGTAGGATTGTTGAATACATCCTCTGTCCAGATTTCATTCTCTAAGACAGGCACTTTGGTGGTACCAATCACCTATACAGGTCATCAACTAACGTTCATCATCATACTGCTTGTAAACTGTGCTGTACTTGAGTGGTTAGCCTTTTTCTGCTTGATGCTGAAAGTGACCAACTGTTTACCCGGTATGTCTCAAACTATAGATTCCTGGCTTTCATATGGTTCAGACAGCTCCACACTTCCACCATAACATATCATTATTTCTTCTAGCCACTAAAACTTAACACTTGGATAGCAGAATTTTATACTGAAGAAATATACATATTGAATATACAAATTACAAATAGTCACTCTACATACTCTGGCAGTCAACACTGCCAAAGAAACCAGAAACAAAGAAACCTCTTCCTTCTGAAGAGGAAAAAGGATATGAGAAGTATGGCTTAATGGCATAGTTTTGGAAAAGTTACAAATTCCAGCAGGGAGAGCAATGAATATTACATGGTACCTGTTAGTGCAATGTTAATCAATAGATGCTTTAGTTCACAAATTCTGCACTTATTTAGCATACACAATGCATTCTACAAATGATTTTCAAAAAAATCTGAATTTGTTAAATATGAAAAAATTGGCAATCAAATCATCACTCCAGAAAAGCAGATGTTCAAGGACAAAATGAGAAACAAAGGGAACTACTGCTGTAATACATACAATAATATTCAGATGATGTTTCTTTTAGCATTTACTTTGTACTGTTCTTTTAGCACACTTTTTTCATTCTTTCTTATTTTGTTTAAATTATTTGCAAGTCTACTCTACCAGTTTGTAATTTCCTTGAAGTAACAGGTGTCTTCTTAGTCATTTGTTTGCCACGGTATATTTATATTAAAAAAAAGTTTTTTTTTGAGACAGGGTCTCACTCTGGTACCCAGGCTGGAGTGCAGTGGCACAGGTCATAGCTCCCTGCAGCCTTGACCTCTTCCCAGGCTCAAAGGATCCTCCCACCTCAGCCTCCAAAGGAGTTGGGACTACAGACGTGCACCACCACACCCAGTTAGTTAAAAAAAAAATTGTGGAGATGGGGTCTTGCTCTGTTGCCCAGGCTGGTCTCAAAATCCTGGGCTCAAGCAATCCCTCCAACTCGGCCTTCCAAGGTGCTGGGATTACAGGTGTCAGCCACTATGCCTGTTTTTTGTTTGTTTCTTTTTTACTGGTAGAGCTATATTTAGACAAATTTCTAAAGGAAGACAAAACTGAGGTGTTTCCACATTCACTAAAATCTTAAAATAAGGGCATATAAAAGTTTTTTTCAACAAGCTCCTCTGTCTTAATTCGCATTGTGCTTGCTGGAAACTACAGCCATGTTTAGATCTCATCTATACTCTATTTCGGAAAAAGTCTAATTTTAATCATTAACTTCACATACTAATTAACGGCTGTAGTTAAGCTGTGAAACCTTACCTAAGCTAATAGGAAATTACCTTCACATGAGGACAACTTAAGTGATTCAGACACTCCACCGTTCTGACTATACTTTTGCTGTGTTGCCACCTAATTTTTATTACTACTCCCTTACTCACTACTCCAGCCAAACAGGCCTTTCTGCTGTTCACTGAAGACACCAAGCACATTCCAAGACAAAAGTCTTTCTGCATTGGTGGTCCCTCTGCCTGGAATGCTCTTTCCCCAGCTGTCAGCACAGCTAACTCCTTCACCTCCTTCCAATATTTGCTCAAATGTCATTTTCTCAGTGAAGCCTACCTAAGATTGCATCTTGCATTCCCCATGCCTCTTACCTCGCTGTATTTTTTTCCTATGGTACTCATGTACTTCCAACCTATAACTTCCTTCTTTTTGTTTACTGTTTATTATTTGTCTTCCCCAAACTAGAATGTAAGCTCCACAGGACAGAGATCTTTGTTTTGTTTACACATAGACCATTCCAAGAAGTTGGACATTGCCTGGTACACAGTAAGCACTCAGTATTACTGAATAAATGAGTGGATATCATACTTAGCACAAAAGGGATCTCTCTCTTCAGGTTCTGAATATGAGTCATTAATAGTGCACCTCAACTTCACTCCAGCACTTAAATGCATGACTTAAAAAAAAAAAAAAAGCATGTGGCTTACAGCGTGTGTGGAAAAATTTTCCAGTATATGATCCTCTGAGCCTTTCATTAAACAGTCCTTTGAGCTTTGTGACATCATAATTCTGCTAAGTGGGTCGCTATTACCATTCTCATATTGCAAACTCAAGTAGGCAGTTATGTAGCCCCCGCCCAAATTAGTGAACCCAAAACAAAACCCACAAGATCTCATCAACAGTTTTTACCTCACAGCTGACACTTATAAAGGAGTTCCAAGTGCTTCCGCCAACTCCTCCTACCAGCAACTGTGAAAACAACGGCCAGTGAGTATCCAGGGCTGACTTTGGGCCGGGCACCCCATATCTCATTTCATCTAGTGAAGTAAGTCCCAAACCCCACTCCAGAGGCCCGGTCCCTGACCTGGAGGAAACTCAGTCCCAGCCCCTGGCTCACCCGCTGGGAAGTCGAAGGAGGGCCCGGAATCGTACCCAGGCCTGGATTACCTTCGCCCACGCCCACTGGGGCCCCAGTGTCTGGAGAGGCTGCACTTTACTCTCTCGAGGAAGCCATTCTGCACTTCCGCTCTCGGGGCTGCTTCCCGGGATGGTCCCTCCCTTTGGGTCCGCGGCGCCTCCAGCCACAAGGCAGGGAGATGGTGCGCCGGACTGGGGGGAAGGCTGTCCGGACCCGCCCTCGCGGCACCGGGAAGCCAGTCCCACCTCCGGGCCCCGCAGCCGCGAATGCCGGCAGACAGGGACCAGGAGGCACTCAAGTCCCACTGCGCACGCGCCCTGTAGGCCGGGCCGGAGTCACGTGCGCCAACGTTACGCACGCCGGCGACTCTCGCCTCGCCTAGGCCTCAGCTCCCTAGGTTTTGCTTCGCGGAGTACAGAAGCTGGGAGGCGCCAGCCTCCCGCCCCCGGCCACTACGGCAACGGAAGCGGCGCGCGCAGGCGGAGCATTCTTTGGCTCCGTCCCGAAGAGGGGTGAAAGGGAGAGGGACAGGGAGGCGAAGGGGAGGGGGAGGGGGAGGGGGAGGGGGAGGGGGAGGGAGGGAAGGGACGGGGCAAACCTGTCTGTCAGGACGTGCTGGTTCCGCTCACTGGCTGCTGGCCCCAAGGGCTTTCAGACTCTTCTGGACAGTTGTTACTTCCTGTACAGACTGGGTTGAAACTGCAGCTCAAAAGACGATAGGTTAAAAGCCAAACTAGGGAACTGCAAGATAAGATTGTTTATATATACATGACATAATATATATTAATTATGTTGCTTAATAAGCCAATAAGAAAAAGGCCAACAACCCCAGAAGGAAAATGAGCAAATATTAGAACAGGCCTCCCAAAAAACAAAAAAGTCAAACAAATAGCCACTAAGGATATACAAAACTGTTTAAACTATTATTAGACAAGAATGGAAATGAAAACAGCAAGTTTTCTTTTTACTCGGTTTAGCAAAGATGTAAAACCTTGGTAATGACCACTGTTGGTGTGACTATGGGGAAACAGGTTTACATCTGTGGATGGAAGAAAAACGTTATTAGAAACCTTACGGAAGGCAAACTTATTTATTTGTTTGTTTACTGAAACAAGGTCTTACCCTCACCCAGGCTGGTGTGCAGTGGCTCGATCTCGGCTCACTGCAGCCTCAACTTCCCCGGGCTCACGCGATCCTCCTAGAGAGATGGCATCTCCCTATCTTAGGCTGGTCTGGAACTCCTGGACTCAAGCGATCCGTTGGTCTCGGCCACCCAAAGTGCTGGGATTACAGGCATGAGCCAAGCCGCCTAGCCCAGAAGGCAAACGTTGAAAAGAGACATGCACTTTGGCTGGGCGCAGTGGCTCACGCCTGTAATCCCAGCATTTTGAGAGGCCGAGGCGAGCGGATCACGAGGTCAAGAGTCCGAGACCAGCCTGACCAACATAGTGAAACCCCGTCTCTACTAATAATGCAAAAAATTAGCCAGGCGTGGTGGCGGGCGCCTGTAATCCTAGCTACTTGGGAGGCTGAGGCAGGAGAATCGCTTGAACCCGGGAGGCGGAGGTTGGAGCGAGCCGAGATCTCACCACTGCACACCAGCCCGGGCGACAGTGCGAGACTCCGTCTCGGGAAAAAAAGAGGACATGCATTTTAACCCAGCAATTCCTCCTCCTCGCAGTTTATCCTTAGGAGATAATTAAACAGCTGGCACTCACTTTGGACAAAATGTTCATTTCAGCATCTCAATAACATAGCCAAATGGAAATACTCTAAATGTCTACTTTAAGAGAATTAATTAAATTATTACAGTACATCTATATAATGCACATATATGCATTATATGCAGCCATTAATAGGCTGTATGTGTCAACAGTATTGCATGAAAATAGAAGAATATTAGAATTATGTGTAGAGTTTTTAACCATTTATGTAAATAGATATATAGACATAAATGTAAAATTCATTTTTTACAAGTCTTCCAGAACATGGACCAATGGAGAAAAGATTATATTTTCACAAAATAGTGGTAGGTCATTTGTGTCTCTCCATGCAAAAAAAATTGTATTTGGACCCTCCTTACATCATAAACAAAAATACATTTCATTTGGATTGTCAGTCTGTATTTTAAAAGTTAATAAGAAAACATAAGAGAACATCTTTGCAACCTTGAAGTAGTCAAAAAGTTTATAACAGGACACAAAATACTAATCATAAAGGAAAAATGTATAAATTGAACTATATTAAAACTAAAAATATCTATTCAAAAGACACCATTCAGAGTGAAAAGGCAACCTACAGAGTGGGAGAAGATGTGTGTGTGTGTGTGTGTGTGTATGTGTAAATATATATATACAGTAGAAAAATGGACAGAGGCTGGCTGTGGTGGCTCACGCCTGTATTCCCAGCACTTCGGGAGGCCGAGGTGAGCAGATCACTTGAGGTCAGGAGTTAGAGACCAGCCTGGACAACATGGCGAAACCCCATCTCTACTAAAAATATTTTTAAAAATTAGCCGGGCCTGGTGGTGGGCACCTATAAACCCAGCTACTCTGGAGGCTGAGGCAGGAGAATCTCTTGAACCTGGGAGGCAGAGGTTGCAGTCAGCCAAGATCGCACCACTGCACTCCAGCCTAGATGACAGAGTGAGACTCTGTCTCAAAAAAAAACACAACAACAGCAACAAAAAAAAAAAAAAAAAGAAAAAAAAAGAAAAATGGACAGACACTTCAAAAAGATATATCCAAAAGGCCTATAAACATATGAAAACGTGTTAAACCTCATTAGTCTTTGGGAAAATGCAAACCAAAACCACAATAAGATACCATTACACACCCACCAGAATGGCTAAAATGAAAAAGACTGAAAACGTGTTAGGGAAGATGGAGAGAAACCACTGAAAAACTGTTTGAAAGAAAATGATCTTCCAGACTCACTGGTTGGTTGCCTTTTCTTCTTCTTTTTTTTTTTTTTTTTATATATTTCAGTTTTTTGAGGTGTACATATATACAGTGAAATGCTCAGATCATAAGTGTTCTATTCAACTACTTTTGACAAATGCCTATTAAATATTCCAGAAAGTACCCTTGTGCTCCATCCCAATCCATCTCCCACCTTCAAGAAGCACCCACCCATCTGTTTTCTGTCGCCATAGTTTAGTTCTACCTATTCCAGAATTTTATATAAGTTCAATCATTACAGCTTATGCCTTTTTGTTTCCAGCCCCTTTAGATTCAGTTAAATATTTATCCATGCTGTTGTATGTGTCTAGTATTTCCCTTAACATATAAAACAGAGCTCTGAGTGAGCATTGAGTGAACAGCATCGGACTTGGTGGAGACAAGAGGAATGTTCTTTTTTATTATTATTATACTTTAAGTTCTAGGGTACATGTGCACAACATGCCAGTTTGTTACATATGTATACATGTGCCATGTTGGTGTGCTGCACCCATTAACTTGTCATTTGCATTAGGTATATCTCCCAATGTTATCCCTCCCCCCTCCCCCCACCCCACAACAGGCTCCAGTGTGTGATGTTCCCCATCCTGTGTCCAAGTGTTCTCATTGTTCAGTTCCCACCTATGAGTGAGAACATGCAGTGTTTGGTTTTCTATCCTTGCGATAGTTTGCTCAGAATGATGGTTTCTGGAATGTTCTTGTAGTTTATATGTTTGATCTGTTTGTCTGATTCAGTGGAACACCACACAGCATTGGTATTGACTATTATACAATCTTAAATTGTTCCTATTCTTTGTCACTTGGTGTTCCATTTAGTCTCTTCTTGCTGCATGGAATGGACCACTGGTTAAAGGCAGCAAAGACAGTGCTCCTAAGGGAACACTAATGTTGAAATCCAGAAGTTGATAAGAATTTTGAACCTGATAATTCTTTCACTTTCTCTTAAGAGCTTCATTAGATCTCTTTCCTTCTTCCTTTTTCTTTTCTTTCTCTTCTTTCTCTTTCTTTCTTTTTCTTTTCTTTCTTCTTTCTTTCTTCCTTTTTCTTTCTTCCTTTCTTTCTTCCCTCCCTCCCTCCCTCCCTCCCTCCCTCCCTCCCTTCCTTCCTTCCTTCCTTCCTTCCTCCTTCCTTGAGACAGGGTCTTGCTCTGTTGCCCAGGCTAGAGTGCAGTGGCACCACCATAGCTCACTGCCACGTCAAACTCCTGGGCTCAAGGGATGGTCTCGCTTGGGCCTCCCAAAGTGCTGAGATTCCAGGCATGAGCCACCGCACCCAGCCCTTCACTAGATCTTTGTATAGCATTCTGATCGAAATTTTCACACAACACTTATGCTATCAAAACACAATGTTAAGAGAAAATATAGTAAAAACTATAACCAATTCGTGTGTTATACTATTGGGTAGAACATCTACATTGTGGTATTTGTGGGAAAGTGCTTGTAAGCAGCAGCCTGAATCTTTTTTCTTAGTATTTAGAAGCAAAAGTTATGAAAACAAATTAATTGATCTGTAAGGATAAATACAAGAATTCTAAACATCAGGTCAGGAAAGCAGTTTTTGTCTACTTTTAATGCTGTAACACACAATTAAACTTCACTTTGCACATTATACATTCAGTACTAAAATTCAATGTGAAATGTCTTTCTTAAAATTTATTTCTCAGTAATTCATGTTTTTCTTTCTTACATAGTGAATTTCAAGTTAACTAAACAGTGTGAGTCACTAAGTTGGGGAAAACTCAAAGTGTATTTTATATGTTATAAATATCATTAAAAATTATGTTTGGGAGTGCGCGCGGGCGCGTGCGGGAGGGGGCGGGTGGGGAAGGATCGCAGGCGAGATTACGAGGCAGGCGAGGCTCGCGCGCCCGCCCCCGCCCTGGCCCCCAGTGCCCACCCGGTCGGCCCGGCACAGCCATGATCAAGGCGATCCTAATCTTCAACAACCACGGGAAGCCGCGGCTCTCCAAGTTCTACCAGCCCTACAGTGAAGATACACAACAGCAAATCATCAGGGAGACTTTCCATTTGGTATCTGAGATGAAAATGTTTGTAATTTCCTAGAAGGAGGATTATTAATTGGAGGATCTGACAACAAACTGATTTATAGACATTATGCAACGTTATATTTTGTCTTCTGTGTGGATTCTTCAGAAAGTGAACTTGGCATTTTAGATCTAATTCAAGTATTTGTGGAAACATTAGACAAATGTTTTGAAAATGTCTGTGAGCTGGATTTGATTTTCCATGTAGACAAGGTTCACAATATTCTTGCAGAAATGGTGATGGGGGGAATGGTATTGGAGACAAATATGAATGAGATTGTTACACAAATTGATGCACAAAATAAGCTGGAAAAATCTGAGGCTGGCTTAGCAGGAGCTCTAGCCCGTGCTGTATCAGCTGTAAAGAATATGAATCTTCCTGAGATCCCAAGAAATATTAACATTGGTGACATCAGTATAAAAGTGCCAAACCTGCCCTCTTTTAAATAAAAATGTAAAAAGGCCACTCCCAGGTAAAATCCAGGGGGAAGAGTCATCTAAGTTTACCATGCAGTTGTTTACCAAAAATAGAGAAGGAGAGTCTTAACTTTTGCTCTTGGATTTAAGTCAAGGTACTGTATAGAAGTTGTGTAAAATCAGTATGAAAGTTCAATGTTGCTGTTCTTGCTCAGTGATTTTAAAGAAATTGAGTAGTTCCTATGTGATTTTTTTTTCTTTTCTAAACTGCATTCCTGTGCCCACCTACGGCATGCCTCTATGTATTGGCTACTACAGTGTTTTAAAAAGTGTTTCAGATATTTCTCTAATTATGTACAACCTAAAATGTTGGTGTTTTGTATGGATCACAAGTGCAGCATTCCTTAATTCCTTCTGCTATATGTCACACAATTGTTATTTAAAGAACCAAGTATGTATTGCATGAAAACATTATGACCTTTTTCTCTTATTTAAATAAACTCCAAGGTAACTGGACTTCTAAAAAAAAAAAGATTATGTTTAAGATTAATCTTAAAATAAGATTTATAATAGAGTCATTAATAATATGCTGACCCAAAATACATTTTTACTTAAAATAGTTTTTTATGGACTGAATTGTGCCCCCCCAACCAGATGCTTCTGTTGAAGTTCTAACTCCTGAATGGATTTGGAGCTAGGGCCTTAAAGGAGGTAATTAAGGTTACAAAGATTCTAAGGGTGGCGCCCTAACCTGATAGGACTGATGCCTTTATAAAAAGAGGAACAGACACCAGAAATCTCAATCTCTCTCTCTCTCTCTCTCTCTGTCTCCACACACACACACCGAGGAAAGGCCATGTGAGGACACAGCAAGAAGACAGCTGTCTGCAAGCCAGGAAGAGAAGCCTCACTAGAAACCAGCCCTGCCAGCACTTTGTCTTTGATCTTGGACTTATAGCCCCTAGAACTGTGAGAAAATAAACTTCTGTTGTTTAAGTCGCTGTGTCTTGTGATATTTTGTTATGGCAGCCAAGGTAGACTAATACACACTTCTTTATTTTCTTTCATGCAAAAATGACCAATAGATTTTTGAAGAAAAAATTGTTAAGAGTTTAATAGAGAATGTATATTGCACCTAATGTAGATAACAGGTTGATGGGTGCAGCAAACCACTGTGGCACATATATACCTATGTAACAAACCTGCATATTCTGCTTTATGTATCTCAAAACATAAAGTATAGTAATAATAATAAAAAGAACAGAAAAAAAGAGAGAGAATGTGTATTGCTATGAGATGGGCTCAGACATTTAAAAATATTGGGAAACACTGATACGTGGAAGAAGAATGCAATATATGGCCCTCCCTTGAAGAGTTTATCATTTTATTGCAGACACAAGATGTTTAAAAATAAATAGCATTTTTAAAAAATAATGAAAGCATGGGCACCAGGCGCGGTGGCTCACGCCTGTAATTCCAGCACTTTAGGAGGCTGAGGCAGGAGATCACAAGGTCAGGAGATCAAGACCATCCTGGCTAACATGGTGAAACCCGGTATCTACTAAAAATACAAAAAAATTAGCCAGGTGTGGTGGCGGGTGCCTGTAGTCCCAGCTCTAGGGAGGCTGAGGCAGGAGGATGGCATGAACCCAGGAGGTGGAACTTGCAGTGAACCGAGATTGCACCACTGCACTCCAGCCTGGGTGACAGAGCGAGACTCCGTCTCACAAAAAAAAAAAAAAAAAAAAAGAAAGAAAGCACGGGCTGGGTGTGGTGGCTTATGCCTGTAATCCCAGCATTCTGGGAGGCCAAGGCGGGCAGACTGCTTGAGTCCAGGAGTTTGAGACCAGCCTAGGCAACATAGTGAAACCCCGTCTCTACTGAAAAACAAAAAATTAACCTGGCATGGTGGTGTGCACCTGTAATCTCAGCTACAAGGGAGGCTGAGGTGGATCACCTGAGCCCAGGAGGTTGAGGATGCAGTGAGCTGAGATCACACCACTGCACTCTAGCCAGTACAACAGAGTGAGACCCTGTCTCAAAATAATAATAAAGTACAGGGATTTATTGCAAAGTGAATAGCATTTATACAAGTAAGTGCTATATTGTGTGGTACAAGTTAAGTGTTGTAGGAGTCTAAAGAATGAAGTTAGTAGGAAAAATATAGGAAAAGACTAGGGAAAAAGAAACTTTAATTTCTGTTCTTTTAAGGGTGAAGTTACGTGGGGAAGGGGAGTGCCAGCCTAGCTCAGGAAAATAATGAGTGAAAAAACAGGCAAGAGGACAGGTAATGTAGATTTGCAGAAAAGGGATGGAAAGTTAATACGTTTAAATGCTAAATAGGTGGCTTAGGTGCTATATATAGTGTCTTAGCTTGGGCTGTGTATTAGTCTGTTCTCATGCTGCTAATACAGACATACCTGAGACTGGGTAATTTATAAAGGAAAGAGGTTTAATGGACTCACAGTTCCACATGCCTGGGGAGGCCTCACAATCGTGGCAGAAGGCAAAGGAGAAGCAAAGGCACGTCTTACATGGCGGTAGTCAAGAGAACTTGTGCAAGGGAACTCCCCTTTATAAAACCATCAGATCTCATGAGACTTATTTACTATCATGAGAACAGCATGGGAAAAACCTGCCCCCCATAATTAAATTACCTGCCACCAGCTCTCTCCCACAACATGTGGGGATTATTACTTTAAGAGTTAAAGAAAGAGGAAAGAAATATGAAACAAGGCTTAACAGTCAAAGACAGGTTTATTTTAGAGAAAAAACCTGAGGGGGCTTCTGGCTGATTTTGGTCAGGAGCACTTTCTCTTCCCGACTAAGAGTATAAATTGGTTTTAGGGTGAGCAGGTTTATCACAAGCTTGGATGTTTCTTTGGGGGTGGGGGGAGAAGTTTATGGTGGGGTTGGAATGTTTCTATTATCTTGGCCTGACATCTTCCTGGCCAGAGGGGAGTTATCTGAGGCTAGCATCTTCCTGGCCAGAGGGGGCTTATCTTGGGGCTAGCATGTTTCTGATCAGGGAGGAGTTTGGAATGTTTCTGGTCAGAGATGTTATTTGTGGTTTATGTTCATGCTGACCTTAGCCATTAGGCTGATGCCCTTTGGATTTAGGTGGTTTTTGATTAAGGTGAATTTTTAAATGACAGTCCTTGTCCAAGATGGCGATACTCCTGCTCTGTCAATTATAATTCAAAATGAGATTTGGGTGGGGACACGGAACCAAACCATATCAGGCTGTTACAACAAATACCAGAGAGTGTGGCTTAAACATCAGAAATTTGTTTTCTCAAGTGGGAGATTAGAAGTTCGAGATTGAGGCTCTCTTACTGGCTTGCAGATGGCCAGCTTCTTGCTGTATTCTCACATGGTGGAGAGAAAGCAAGCTCTCTTGTCTCTTCTTCAAGAAGGGCACTAATCCCATCATGAGGACCACATCCCCCTGGCTTCACCTAAACCTAATTACCTCCCAAAGGCCCCATTTCCAAATACCATCACACTGGGGATTAGGGAATTTGGGAGGGTGGTGGGATTCAGTCTTTAGCAGGTATTGAGGAACCAGAGTACAGAAGACCATGGAAGGCAGACTGAGGCACCAGATCTGCTGCAATAAGAAATGGTCAAGAGGGAAAGAAATAACTAAGCTTGGTTCTTACAGAGTTAGGAACAGTCATGGCGTAGTCAAATGGAAATATCCATAGGGGAGCTGGAAATCAATGGGTGGCTAAAGTTCAGGTGAGAAAACTGAACTGAGGTAACACTCAGCCCTGTGGATTTTCAAGTACCTACTTTATTATTATTCATTATTAGCAATCATTATGATACTTAATTTAGTAGTGGAATCACTACCCAAAATTGTTAAAGCACTAGCCCTGGGGACTCTCACTTTTCATAGCTTGCCTAACACTGTGGGAGGCTGGGATCAACATGACTTTTTATTTTGAATAGGGAAGGGCATCAGCTCTGGCATCTCAATGCCTGGGTTAAAATCACCACCTACCCTGGGCTAGGAAGACACCTCTGTCCACTAGGTTGTATTGAAGATTACCAAATAAATGTAAAGTGCTTAGAACAGATTCTTGCACTTCGCTGGTATCTGACAAATGTTAGCTGCTCCAAAAAAAAAGTCCGTTCTTTTTTGGAAGATAAGGTGCTAAATTCAGACCCTCCATGAAGAGTTTTCTCTCTTCTGCTATTTCCTTTTATATTCAAAATCCTTAATAGAGCAGAAGAGGAAAGGGGAGGGGAGAGACTAAGAAGAAAAAAGGGAAAAAAGAGAAAACAATTGAGGCCAAATGATTTCATATCTGCTACAGAGAAGCTGTCGGATATATCTGCTTTCTGTCTTCAACAATTTGGACAGGTTTCAAAGAATAGAAAGAAGACAGGCTATAAAATGAATGAACACATGAATCAACACAAAGGCATTTCAAAAACATAGTATGGAATGATAAAGGCAAGTTGCAGAACAATTTTACATTGCCTTAGCATTTTTGTAATGTTTAAAAACATGTGAAACAATTCTGTTTAGTATTCATTTATATAAATATAGTAAAAATATAAAGACGTGGATGAAGAGGATACACACCACCCTCTGAAGAGTGGTAACCTCCAGGGAGAAGGAGAGAATTCAGGATGGGAAGAAGGCATAAAATGAACACCAACTGTATCTGTAATAATTGTATTCTTTTCATTAATCTCTGATGCAATGGCAAAATGCTAGTACAGATGGCCCTCTGTATCTCTGGCTTCTACATCTGTGGATTCTGCCAATCACAGAAATATTTGGAGGAAAAAATCTATGTGGCATCTGTAGTGAACATGTACAGACTCTTTTTCTTATCATTATTCCCTAAACAATACAGCATAGCAACTAGTTGCACAGTATTTACATCGTATTAGGTATTACAAGTAATCTAGAGATGACTGAAAGTATATGGAAGGAAGTGCATTGGTTATATGCAAATACTCCACTATTTTATATAAAGGACTTGAGCATCCATGGATTTTGGTATGCTGGTAGGGAGGTCCTGAAACAAATCCCTCATGGATACTGAGGGATGCCTACTTTTAAAATCTAGGTAGTGAATACATGGGTGTTATACTTTTCTCTTTACTGAATGTTTGAAATATTTCCTTAAAATGTTAAACATAATAAAGGGGACTATCTGCCCCATTCCTAAATCCATTCAATCTCCCGTACATTTTAGAAATTCCTTATTTGCTCAGTTAAATTACATGTAGGAATGATTTCCAGGAATGAGTATGCATCCTAGACTCAATTTGAAAAGAGTATAATGAATTTATTAAAGATCAGTTATGTATTTGTGTTACATTTACATTGCCAAAATATATTCCAGATTCCAAAACATCTAGGTTGAATGTCACACATATTATCATGTCATTGTTAGGTTTTTATTTTGTTTAATTTTATTAATAATCAATAGTAATAGTAATACCACATTTTAAGGCAAGGGTGCTTTGTACTTTACAAACTGCTTGGGTATGCATTAAGACAGGGGATAACACATTACTGGGTATATACCCAAAGGATTATAAATCATGCCGCTATAAAGACACATGCACACGTATGTTTATTGTGGCACTACTCACAATAGCAAAGACTTGGAGCCAAGCCAAATGTCCAACAATGATAGACTGGATTAAGAAAATGTGGCACATATACACCATGGAATACTATGCAGCCATAAAAAATGATGAGTTCATGTCCTTTGTAGGGACATGGATGAAGCTGGAAACCATCATTCTCAGCAAACTATCACAAGGACAAAAAACCAAACACCACATGTTCTCACTCATAGGTGGGAATTGAACAATGAGAACACATGGACACAGGAAGGGGAACGTCACACACTGGGGCCTGTTGTGGGGTGGGGGGAGTGGGGAGGGATAGCATTAGGAGATATACCTAATGTTAAATGACGAGATAATGGGTGCAGCACACCAGCATGGCACATGTATACATATGTAACAAACCTGCACGTTGTGCACATGTACCCTAAAACTTAAAGTATAATTAAAAAAAAAGAAAATGTGCTTAAGAAGGCAGTAGCTGAAAATGGAAAGAAAGAAAAACACTATTTGCCGTCTTCAAAGAGTTTGATCAATGCTAAATTAAATAATGGAAAATCAAGTGCAAAATTTTTATCAAATACAACCAGTAGCATTTTTATAGAGTTTTTTTTTTGTAATGGGAAATTCAAAAACATAGATTCTAAAAACTAAAAAAAAAAAAAAAAAAAAAAAAGACGGGATAAAAAATAAGATAGATTTCATTTCAGGGGCCAACTCCAACTGATTGGTGGTGGCTGCCCAGAAAGCTCTGTTGAGACACATTGTGAAGCCACATCTGGACTCAGCAGGGAGGGCAATGATCAGCTAGGGAGGTGTATCAAGGGCAGAGTGATAGAGTGGTATCCTATGTGTGTCCCATTGATATTTCACCTAATAGTTGTATAACCCTGGGCTAGGAAGACATCCCTCTCCCACCAGCTTGTATTGAGGATTACCAAATGAATGTAAAGTACTTAGAACAGATTCTTGCACTTAGCCAGTATCTGATAAATGTTAGGCTCTGGAAAAATGTCTGTTCTTTTTTGGAAGATAGGGTGCTATAGTTCTAAAATCAACCAGGAACACATTCCTTGTTCTCCTTCTACCTCTCTCACTGCTCCTTCTCAGTCTCCCTTCCCTTAGCCCTTCTATCTTAGTGCTTTCCAGAATTCTTCCTCTTTGATTCTCTTTGATCTTTACTTGTGCCACACTAATCACTGACTGGTTTCATTCTCAACCATAGCAACCTCATATGCCAATGATTCCTTCCCAGCCCCATCCAAGCCAGGTAAAATGCCTCCCCTTCATCTGCATAGCATGCACGTAGCATTGGACTCTAAGTATTCCAACTATTTGTTTATCCATCTATCTCTGCTACTAGACCATGGGCTTTCAAAGGACAAGGCTAGATCTTATTGATCTCTGCACTCCCAGCTTCTGGCACATAGTAGCAATCAATAAATGTTTGTGAAATGAAAGACTGATTTAATGAATGGTGTCCTTATTTTGCAGAAAAGGAAACAGACTCAGAAGTTGGATTTTTCTGAAGGTTGCCTTTTCTCCAAAACCTTCCCATCTTTCCTATAGAACAGGGATTGACAAAAATTCTCTGTAAAGGGCCGATAGTAAAACTTCTGTCTTTGCAGATCATAAGGTCTCTGTCACAACCACTCAACTCTGATGTAACTGTAAGGCAGCCATAGACAATGTGTAAACAGGTGGGTGTGGCTGAATTGCAATCAAACTTTACCGCAAAAACAGGCAGTGGGCTGGATTTGGCTGGTGGATCCTTATTTGTGGAAGCTTGCTGTAGAAGATGATAAATAGACACTCTTGCATGTCTAGTTTCTTTTTCTTTGTTGAACATTCTCTTGTTACCTAGCAAAAGCAGCTCAATGCTCAGTGTGTTAGAAGCCAATACTATGATACTGGGTGTTTGAGAAGAGAATGGCTTTTATTACAAGTTGACAAATGAGAAGAGAGGAGTCCAGCTCAAATCTGTCTTCCTGTGCTGGCTTCAAGGCAGTAATTGCATTAGAAACTGTTTGGGAGTGGATTCTGGGATTAGCCGCTGGTGATTGGTGGAAGGAAAGGGGAGGTCTGGAAGGTCCTTGGGCATGCACAGTTAATGCTTTATACTTCCTGATGGGAAAGTATGCAGCGGAAATTCAGGCTATGATGTCAGCAAGCTCAGTCCATTGCCATATTGGTTCCAACTGATTTCAGATAGTTTTATTATTTTATAAGTGGAGGAAGTTTCAGAGTTCTTTCTCCCCTCCTCCCCTCCTCCCCTCCTTTTTCCTCCCCTGCCTTCCTCTCCCCACCCTTCCCTGCCTTCCTCTCCCCACTCTCCCCTCTCTCCATCTCTCTTTTTCTCCTGGAAACCTTCCATCAACGTTTAGTCATGCATAGCTCTACCATCTTGAAAGTAAGTCTCTCCTCCTCCAATTGTTGCCCTTTCTCTCGCTCTACCTCCTTCACAGTCAAAGTTCCTGATAGGGTTCTGTGTTCACTGTCTCCAGTTCATCATTCCAATAATTTCTCAACTAATGACAAATCTCCTTCTCTTCCATTATATTCCTGAAACGTTCTCCTTGAAGATCCCAAATAACTTCCTATGGTGCTACATCCAACTCAGAATTCTTTGCTCTTTACTAAATCTCTGGCACTCATCAACCCTATTGAAATGAAACATTCTTTTCCGTGGTTCTTGTGACAACATGATCTCCTGATTTTACTCCTGTGGTCATTCTCCTTTAGGCTTCTTTGTTGGCTTTGTAGACCTACACAGAAGCCTACAGAAGAATGACCATAGGAGGAAACCATGCCCCCAACACTCTGAAGATACAGATTTTTAACAACTAACTCTGCCTATTTGTTAAAAAACTGTATCTTCAGGGTTCTCTGCTAGGCCCTTGACTCTTAGTCTACATACTCCCCTAGGACATATCATCTCATCTCTAGGCCTTTTTTTTTTTTTTTTTTTTGAGACAGGGTCTAGCTCTGTCGCCCAGGCTGGAGTGCAGTGGCTCGATCTCACCTTATTGCAACCTCCGCCTCCCAGGCTCAAGCGACCCCTCTTCAACCTCAGTCTTCCAAGTAGCTGAGACTACACGTGCACGCCACCATGCCCAGCTAATTTTTGTATTTTTTGTAGAGACAGGGTTTCGCCATATTGCCCAGGCTGCTCTTGAACTCCTAAGCTCGATACCCCTGCCTTGGCCCCCCAAAGTGCTAGGATTACAGCATAAATCACCTCACTGGGCCATCTCTAGGCAATTTTAAATCTAATGATGATCCTCAAGTTTATTTTTCCAACCCAGAGCTCATTACTGAGGCTAGAATCAGCTGGCCAATTGCCTAACAGAATTAGAAATCACCCCTCTTAACCTTACTCACCACATCCAGTTCCATCTTGAAAAAATAATTATCTTGGCCGGGCGCGGTGGCTCACACCTGTAATCTCAGCACTTTGGGAGGCCGAGGAGGGTGAATCATGAGGTCAGGAGATTGAGACCATCCTGGCTAACAGTGAAACCCGTCTCTACTGAAAATACAAAAAATTAGCTGGGCGTGGTGGCAGGCACCTGTAGCCCCAGCTACTCGGGAGGCTGAGGCAGGAGAATGGCGTGAACCCAGGAGGTGGAGCTTACAGTGAGCCAAGATAGTGCCACTGCACTCCAGCCTGGGCAACAGGGCAAGACTCCATCTCAAAAAAAAAAAAAAAAATTATCTCAACCTCACCACCCCAGCCAGCTTTCACCTATTTATCTGCCCCATTTGCAGCAAAACTTCTTGAAAAACTTGTCTATATTTACTGCTCCAATTCCTCTCCAACTCTTTCTCTTAAACTCCCTCCAAGCCGGCTTTCAACTCGACAGCTCCAGCTCCACTGAAACACTCTTGTCAAAGTCGCCCATGACTTCTGCATTGCTAAAAACAGTGGATAATCCTCAGATCTCATCTTACTTTGATCTTTCAGCCACAGTTGACACAGCTGATGGCATTTCTGCTTGATACCCGTCCTTCACTTGGCCTTCCAGATACCACCCTCTTCTGGTTTTCTTCCTTCCTCACTGACTTTCCACCTCAGTCTTCTTTGCTCATTCCTCCTCCTCTTCCTGATTTCTTAATACTGGAGTGAACAAAGGCTTATTCCTTGGCCTTCTTGTCTACACCCTTTGAGTGATCTCATCCACTCTCAAGCCTTAAATACCACCTGTATGTCTATGACTCCCAAATGTGTATCTTCATCCCAGACCTGTCTTCCAACTTCTAGTCTCTTAGATCCAACTGCCTATTCAACATCTCCACTGGGATGCCTTGTAAGCTTCTCAGATGGAGTTAAAATTGAATTTCAGTTCCAAACACCTCTTCCACCCATAGCCTCCCACAGTCAACTGTTTGGGACTGGAATGAGATGGTAACTCATTCTCCAAGTTGTGCAAATGCAAATCTTTTTATCATCATATATAAAAGTTGATTCCCTTTGAATCCTTTAGTAAGAGGACTCTATGGTTTTTCTATTTATGCTTTTTTCAAGAGGGTTCATAGATGCCAAGTTTAAATAGGGCAAGTTTAAAATGTCTCCTATTGGCCAGGCATGGTGGCTCACACCTACAATCCCAGCACTTTGGGAGGCCGTGGTGGGAGGATAGCTTAAGCTCAGGAGTTTGAGACCAGCCTGGGCAACATAGTGAGACCTCATCTCTAGAAAAAATAAACAAAATTAAACAGGCATGGTGGTGCGTGCCTGTAGTCCCAGCTACTCAGGAGGCTGAGGTGAGAATATTGCTTGAGCCCTGGAGGTCAAGGCTGCGATGAGCTATGAACATGCCACTGCATTCTAGCCCGGATGACAGAGCGAGACTCTGCCTTAAAAAATAAAAATAAATGTCTTCTATTGCCTTTATCCCCAAAGGACATTTATACTTTCTTTCCCCCACAGGTTTGCAGAAGTTGCTCCAAGATTGCCTGGGAATGAGTGTTGCATTCATTCTTCTTTCTTTGGCTTCTCTGTTTGTCTTTTGGTTTGTTGAATTTCATGACTGAAGTATTTGGGTTTTGTTTGGTTTTGGTTTTGGCTCTTGTCTTATTGAATTCATGTTTTTAACAATTTCCTCTGCAGCTTGAAGCAATTGCAAGAAACTTTTCCTAGGTTCCTTGGGTTATTGTTTCTTGCAGTCTTTCCTCTGTTTTATGCCTGCCATGCTTATTTAAGTCTTTGCTTTCATTGTATTCTTCTGCAAAATGCTTGCTTAGTAACCATATTGCTTCTTTTCATCTTGCTCATGCTTCAAGCAGACAGCTCTGTCCAGTTCTTCTTTTGGCTCTGACAAAAAGAAGAGTAATTATCAGTGAAACCCTCCCAACCTTACCTGGGGTCTTTTTTCCCTTCCAGATACTATTTTAATGCAAGGGGACAGGAACTTGGAAAAAGCTTGGCAAACTTTCTGCAGCCTTTGGTATAGTACTGGGCTTACCCTCTCTTCTAAGGTTTTGGTAATGTCCAGTTTGGGGTACTCCCTTTCTCCCTCTTCTCATGGAGTGGGAGTATTCTCAGACTTCAGATCAGTCCCCGGATTCAGCACGGGGTCCTGGGAGATGGTAACACTTTGGGGCTTTTCCTGGCTCAACTTGTATTGAGCCAGGAAATATTGAAACCACACATAGGAGCCTCTGCACTTAAGAAGATTTCTTTGACTTTTTTCTAAGCCCCCTATTCCCAACTTTGTCTGCTTCTATCCAAATCGGGGGTATTTGGTGAGAATTTTCAAGGTTTTGAGACTCACTTACTTTTGTATCATTCTGTAGGAAGAGGGGCTACATTAAGTCACACTAAAATCTCCTGCTTTTCTTCTTGTTGGATACTTTTCAGTTTATAGCAAGAGGATCGCCTCTTTCCTTGTGTACTTGTTACTGGTAATTTTTTTAATTGGTTTATTTCATTGAGGATTGGAGGAGGGTGATTCTGGAAGCAAAAACAAATATAGATAGATAGATAGATAGATAGATAGATAGATAGATAGATAGACAGACAGATAGATATACCGTCAATTTTTTTCTAGCATCCTTAGGGACAGGGTTGGCGTGAGGGAGATGAAATGCAGTGACCCCCACCAGACCCCAGAAGCACCCAGCTTCATGGCAGAGACAGTCTGTCCTCAGGGGGCTTGGCATTTTTTTTGTAAAGGGTACCTGCCCACTATACTTCTCATTCAATCTTTCTGCTGCCCTTTGTTTTCTCAGCAAGGAGTAATGCTGCTTTTCACACAGAAAGGGCTTCTACTGTGCCTGACCTTAAGACAGGAAAAGTAGGGGAGCTAAGGAAGCTACCTACACCGCCCTCACCCCCAGTAGCCAGGCTCAGGAAGGAAGAGGCACAGCGGTGTGAATGGATGGAGAAGAGGAGGCCGGTAGGCTGAGCCCCTGGCTCCTGGAACGAACACACAGCCATGGCAGGTAGGAAATCTGGGCTCCAACAGTGGCCCTGGGCTGGAGCAGTGAAAGGATGAAGGTGAGGTGCGGTTGGGGATCTGCAAATCTAGCCTCTCTCACTACTAAACAAGGTTTACAGTTCCCAGTGGTAGAAAGACCACATCTCAAGGAGGAATGAAAACACAGGAACTGAGCATTTGTGCTTGGAATTAATAAGCAAATCCCATCAAACCCTTGACATCATGGATTTTGGCCTCAGAAGGCAGAAACCTTGAAAGTTCCAGTGACAACCCCTGTGCCCCTCATCTTCAGGCTCGTCTCTGTGGTGGATTGCCACCTGCACAGCGCCCTGGCATTTCCATGCACAAAATAATTGGCTGCAGAAAGTTGTCAGATGCCTTGCTGTGGGAGGAAACTACAAAAACAAACTTTATTCCATCAACTCAAATTGTTTTTTTATATTTCAAATCTGAGAGCACTGGTTCAATTTCTATTTGTCTTCTCCATGATATGCAATTGTCCTTTGCTGTATGACCAAAATGAGTTAAATGAAAATAGTTCTGTATATTTAGTAGTTAAATAGCCATTTGCTTCAAGATTTTTGGATATTTTATGTTTCTTTCCATATCATTTCTGTAAAGAGCATAAAATTCTCCAGATTTCTTTGAAGATGGCACTGAGGCACCAATGACCCAAATATGTAGGGTTAGAAGAGCTGTGACAGCTCACTAACAATAGCTAAACTTTACTGATATTGCTAATATTCATTTTAATTAGTCAATATTAATATACCTAAACTAAGTGGAAGCACTGGGTTTATATTATCTCATTTAGTCCTCACAGCAACCATATTGTTATTATTATCTCTATTTTACAGAGGAGAATGTGGCTTGAATAGGTTCCATGACTTGTACAAGACCACAGCTGGTACATGATGAAGCAAGGACAAGACACGGGCATCTGACCTCAAGAGTCTCTCCAATCATGAAATACCTGTATGAGTTATCTATTGCTGCATAACAAATTGCCCCAATATTTAGCAGCTTAGGAGCAGGATTGCTGGAATGGTGGGATAAAACTTAGTGGCTTAAAACAACATCTGTTATCTCACAGTTTCTGTGGGTCAGGAATCTGTGCATGGCTTAGCAGGGTGACTCTACCTCACCGTCTCTCATGAGGCTACTATCAAGGTGACAGGCAAGGCTGCAGCCATCTCAAGGCTGGACTGGGGAAGGGTCCACTCCCATTCTCTCTCTTTGGTTGTTAGCAGGATTTAGTCCCTCACTGGCACTAGGCCAGAGGCCACCCTCTGTCCCTTGCCACATGGACCACTCCCCAGGGCACACACAGCAGCTTGCTTTCTCAGAGCAAGTGAACAAGAAGAACCAGAGAGAAAGAGTGTGCAAAATGGAAGTCATGGTCTTTTGTAACCTAATTTTGGAAGTGACAGCTCCTTACTATTGGCAGAGTTGATTCATTAGAAGTGAGCCACCAGGTCCAGCCCTTACTCAAGGGGTAGTGATTACACAGAGGTGTCGATACCAGTAGGTCGGGATCATTGGGAGGCATTTCAGAAGCCGCCTACCACCGCGCCTTTCTCAGACAACTGCCCACCCCATCACTCCCAGGGGCAGGCTAAATGGTGTGCTTGTGTTCTGTGACTGTGACCCCCCACCGCCCCCAGCCACAGCTGACTGGACCAGAGACGGACACCTGATCCAAACTAGGCCAATTAGATTCTCTCCCCCAGGAATTCTGAATTGCAATTCAGAGACCCTGGTTGGTTTCTGCTAGAGGTTTGAAATGAAATAATTGGGAGCTTTGGGACAGCCATTTTCTGCTGTGTTCAAAAATAAGTAGAGATGGCTGGATAGGAGTGTGAGAGAGAGAGAGAGGCATAGAGACAGAGAGGATGGTTGTGGTTCCTCCCCTGGGTTTGGAAAGGTACAATAAAAACTAGGTTTCTGTCACATGCAACCAGCGGTGATATTTCCATTTTTTTTTTGAATCAGTAATTTTGCCCCAGGAGAGATTTTGAATTGAAGTATATAGTATATGTTACTTTTTTAACTAAAGGAAAAACAGAATATATATATATATATATATATATATATATATATATATATATATATATATGCAATGATAATTCTTTTTTCAAAGCTTTAGATGAATTAATGTTAACATTTAACAACCAATAAGGTCCAAATACCAACCAATCCAGAAGGAGCTCACCATAAATAGCTGGTGTGGTCCCACTGCTGAATGCTGGGTACCCACCAGCTGTCTGCCATCTCAAGGCCACTGCAATCTGGCCTCGACCACACTGCAGCCCGAAGGCAGGCAGGCTGGGGAAAGGTGGGGCCTGAGAACCTCAGATCACCAGCAGTGAGTCATGGTGGCGTAGCACAGAAACCTCTGTATGATTGCAGATTTGCTCTGTAACCCACTGGGGTGTCAGTATCTGTGGCAGACAACTCACAGTGGAGGCTTTTGAGACAATGTCCAGTGCTTTTCTGGCTCACTCACTGTGATTCCCGGAAGAACACACACGAGTATCCTAGACAGGGATGAAAAGCCTACATCTGATATGAGTGAGAAGAGGCTGGAAAGAGCCACCTCTGGGTGGTGGGATTTAAGAAACTTGCCACTTCCTCTAAAACAGGACCTGCAACCTGGGTCTGTGGATAGTAAAGCCCTTGATCTTTTTTTTTTTTTAATTATACTTTAAGTTCTAGGGTACATGTGCACAACGTGCAGATTTGTTACATATGTGTACATGTGCCATGTTGGTGTGCTGCACCCATTAACTCGTCATTTACATTAGGTACGTCTCCTAATGCTATGCCTCCCCACTCCCCCCACCCCACAACAGGCCCGGGTGTGTGATGTTCCCCTTCCTGTGTGAACAATGAGTCCAAGTGTTCTCAATGTTCAATTCCCACCTATGAGTGAGAACATGTGGTGTTTGGTTTTTTGTCCTTGCGATAGTTTGCTGAGAATGATGGTTTCTAGCCTCATCCATGTCCCTACAAAGGACATGAACTCATCCTTTTTTATGGCTGCATAGTATTCCATGGTGTATATATGCCATATTTACTTAATCCAGTCTATTGCTGATGGACATTTGGGTTGGTTCCAAGTCTTTGCTATTGTGAATAGTGCCGCAATAGACATACGTGTGCATGTGTCTTTATAGCAGCATGATTTATAATCCTTTGGGCATATACCCAGTAATGGGATGGCTGGGTCAAATGGTATTTCTAGTTCTAGACCCTTGAGGAATCGCCACACTGTCTCCCACAATGGTTGAACTAGTTTACAGTCCCACCAACAGTGTAAAAGTGTTCCTATTTCTCCACATCCTCTCCAGCACCTGTTGTTTCCTGACTTTTTAATGATTGCCATTCTAACTGGTGTGAGGTGGTATCTTATTGTGGTTTTGACTTGCATTTCTCTGATGGCCAGTGATGATGAGCATTTCTTCATGTGTTTTTTGGCTGCATAAATGTCTTCTTTTGAGAAGTGTCTGTTCATGTCCTTCGCCCACTTTTTGATGGGGTTGTTTGTTTTTTTCTTGTAAATTTGATTGAGTTCTTTGTAGATTCTGGATATTACCCTTTCTCAGATGAGTAGATTGCAAAAATTTTCTTCCATTCTGTAGATTGCCTGTTAACTCTGGTAGTTTCTTTTGCTGTGCAGAAGCTCTTTAGTTTAATTAGATACCATTTGTCAATTTTGACCTTTTGTTGCCATTGCTTTTGGTGTTTTAGACATGAAGTCCTTGCCCATGCCTATGTCCTGAATGGTATTGCCTAGGTTTTCTTCTAGGGTTTTTATGGTTTTAGGTCTAACATGTAAGTCTTTAATCCATCTTGAATTAATTTTTGTATAAGGTGTAAGGAAGGGATCCAGTTTCAGCTTTCTACATATGGCTAGCCAGTTTTCCCAGCACCATTTATTAAATAGGGAATCCTTTCCCCAACGCTTGTTTTTGTCAGGTTTGTCAAAGATGAGATGGTTGTAGATGTGTGGTATTATTTCTGAGGGCTCCGTTCTGTTCCATTGGTCTATATCTCTGTTTTGGTACCAGTGCCATGCTGTTTTGGTTACTGTAGCCTTGTAGTATAGTTTGAAGTCAGGTAGCATGATGCCTCCGGCTTTGTTCTTTTGGCTTAGGATTGTCTTGGCAATGCAGGCTCTTTTTTGGTTCCATATGAACTTTAAAGTAGTTTTTTCCAATTCTGTGAAGAAAGTCATTCGTAGCTTGATGGGGATAGCACTGAATCTATAAATTACCTTGGACAGTATGGCCATTTTCACGATACTGATTATTCCTATCCATGAGCATGGAATGTTCTTCTCTTTGTTTGTGTCCTCTTTTATTTCGTTGAGCAGTGGTTTGAAGTTGTCCTTGAAGAGGTCCTTCACATCCCTTGGAAGTTGGATTCCTAGGGATTTTATTCTCTTTGAAGCAATTGTGAATGGGAGTTCACTCATGATTTGGCTCTCTGTTTGTCTGTTATTGGTGTATAAGACTGCTTGTGATATTTGCACATTGATTTTGTATCCTGAGAGTTTGCTGAAGTTGCTTATCAGCTTAAGGAGATTTTGGCCTGAGACGATGGGGTTTTCTAAATATATAATCATGTCATCTGCAAACAGGGACAATTTGACTTCCTCTTTTCCTAATTGAATATCCTTTATTTCTTTCTCCTGCCTGATTGCCCTGGCCAGAACTTCCAACACTATGTTGAATAGGAGTGGTGAGAGATGGCATCCCTGTCTTGTGCCAGTTTTCAAAGGGAATGCTTCCAGTTTTTGCCCCTTCAGTATGATATTGGCTGTGGGTTTGTCATAAATAGCTCTTATTATTTTGAGATATGTCCCATCAATACCTAATTTATTGAGAGTTTTTAGCATGAAGGGCTGTTGAATTTTATCAAAGGCCTTTTCTGCACCTATTGAGATAATCATGTGGTTTTTGTCATTGGTTCTGTTTATATGCTGGATTACGTTTATTGATTTGCATATGCTGAACCAGCCTTGCATCCCAGGGATGAAGCCCACTTGATCATGGTGGATAAGCTTTTTGATGTGCTGCTGGATTTGGCTTGCCAGTATTTTATTGAGGATTTTTGCATCAATGTTCATCAGGGATATTGGTCTAAAATTCTCTTTTTTTGTCGTGTCTCTGCCAGGCTTTGGTATCAGGATGATGCTGGCCTCATAAAATGAGTTAGGGAGGATTCCCTCTTTTTCTATTGATTGGAATAGTTTCAGAAGGAATGGTACCAGCTCCTCCTTGTACCTCTGATAGAAATCGGCTGTGAATCCATCTGGTCTTGGACTTTTTTTGGTTGGTAGGCTCTTAATTATTGCCTCAATTTCAGAACCTGTTATTGGTCTATTCAGAGATTCAACTTCTTCCTGGTTTAGTCTTGGGAGGGTGTAAGTGTCCAGGAATTTATCCGTTTCTTCTAGATTTTCTAGTTTATTTGCGTAGAAGTATTTATAGTATTCTCTGATGTTAGTTTGTAATTCTGTGGGATCGGTGGTGATATCCCCTTTATCATTTTTTATTGCGTCTATTTGATTCTTCTCTCTTTTCTTCTTTATTAGTCTTGCTAGCAGTCTATCAATTTCATTGATCTTTTCAAAAAACCACCTCCTGTATTCATTGGTTTGTTGAAGGGTTTTTTGTGTCTCTATCTCCTTCAGTTCTGCTCTGATCTTAGTTATTTCTTGCCTTCTGATAGCTTTTGAATGTGTTTGCTCTTGCTTCTCTAGTTCTTTTAATTGTGATGTTAGGGTGTCAATTTTAGATCTTTCCTGCTTTCTCTTGTGGGCATTTAGTGCTATAAATTTCCCTCTACACACTGCTTTAAATGTGTCCCAGAGATTCTGGTATGTTGTGTCTTTGTTCTCATTGGTTTCAAAGAACATCTTTATTTCTACCTTCATTTCATTATGTACCCAGTAGTCATTCAGGAGCAGGTTGTTCAGTTTCCATGTAGTTGAGCAGTTTTGAGTGAGTTTCTTAATCCTGAGTTCTAGTTTGATTGCACTGTGGTCTGAGAGACAGTTTGTTATAACTTCTGTTCTTTACATTTGCTGAGGAGTGCTTTACTTCCAACTATGTGGTCAATTTTGGAATAAGTGCAATGTGGTGCTGAGAAGAATGTATATTCTGTTGATTTGGGGTTGGAGAGTTCTGTAGATGTCTATTAGGTCTGCTTGGTGCAGAGGTGAGTTCAATCCATAATTATCAGATTCACCAAAGTTGAAATGAAGGAAAAAATGTTAAGGGCAGCCAGAGAGAAAGGTCGGGTTACCCACAAAGGGAAGCCCATCAGACTAACAGCAGATCTCTTGGCAGAAACTCTGCAAGTCAGAAGAGAGTGGGGGCCAATATTCAACATTCTTAAAGAAAGGAATTTTCAACCCAGAATTTCATATCCAGCCAAACTAAGCTTCAAAAGTGAAGGAGAAATAAAATCCTTTACAGACAAGCAAATGCTGAGAGATTTTGTCACCACCAGGCCCACCCTACAAGAGTTCCTGAAGGAAGCACTAAACATGGAGAGGAATAACTGGTACCAGCCACTGCAAAAACATGCCAATTGTAAAGAGCATTGAGGCTAGGAAGAAACTGCATCAACTAATGAGCAAAATAACCAGCTAACATCATAATGACATGATCAAATTCACACATAACAATATTAACCTTAAGTGTAAAAGGGCTAAATTCTCCAATTAAAAGATGCAGACTGGCAAATTGGATAAAGAGTCAAGACCCATCAGTGTGCTGTATTCAGGAAACCCATCTCATGTGCAGAGACACACATAGGCTCAAAATAAAGGGATGGAGGAAGATCTACCAAGCAAATGGAAAACAAAAAAAGGCAGGGGTTGCAATCCTAGTCTCTGATAAAACAGACTTTAAACCAACAAACATCAAGAGAGACAAAGAAGGCCATTACATAATGGTAAAGGGATCAATTCAACAAGAAGAGCTAACCATCCTAAATATATATGCACCCAATACAGGAGCACCCAGATTCATAAAGCAAGTCCTTAGATACTTACAAAGAGACTTAGACTCCCACACAATAATAATGGAAGACTTTAACACCCCACTGTCAACATTAGACAGATCAATGAGACAGAAAGTTAAAAAGGATATCCAGGAAAATCCCTTGATCTTAAGTGCAACATCCACAAGCATGTAGCTAACACCAGATAGGACAGGACAGGCATCCAAAGACAGAACCAAGATAAGACAAAAAAGTGCAAGAGCCAGTGTTTGGGGACAGGGTCAAGTTTATTTTTACCTTTTTTTTTTTTTAATTAACTGAGAATCAACAAAATCAGTGAGTGTTCACACAGCATAATTCTGTCCGGGAAAGAGGAGTTGACACAGCATTCCTCTGTAAACTGGAGAATTTCTCCATGACTCCTATCTGCTCCCCAGTTTCTCTTCTCCATGAGGAATAAACACCATGTACAATCTGAAAGCTGGTAAGGGACTGATCCTTGAAGTGTCATCCTGAATTTGAATTAAACCTAAGTCTAGTTTCCTTTTGAGATCTCCTGATGAGTTAAACCTTTACACAAGAGCTACCTAGTCGGATGATTTTTTTCTCACCTGAGCTATTGTGGATAATTGCTCTGCTTCCTTGTTCAACAAAATATAAGGTAAATCATTACCACTCACAACCCGAAGAGATTTATGCCATCGTCTAACAGAAGAGCACAGTGTGCACGTTTCTTTTCTAAGAAAATTAAGTTGACCTCAATGCAGTGGAGTTTGATTTTCATAATTATAAGTCATAACTCACAATTCAAATTTTTTTGAATCAGCATTTTTGCCCTAGGAGAAATTTTGGATTCAGGTATATAGTATACGTTACGTTTTTAATTAAAGAAAGAAGGAAATATGTATATATGTTGGAATATATATATATAGCAACATATATGTTACTTTTTTAATTAAAGAAAGAAGGAAATATATATATATATACACACATACATATACAATATATGTGTAATTGTAATTCTTCTTTTTTCAAAGCTTTAAATGCATTAATTGCAAAATTCTATCCTGGATTATCAACTGGATCTTCAGCAAACACATGGTGGTGTGTAGAGATGTTCTTTGAAGATTTAATTCATCACTGTTAATAAAAATGTTTAACCTTTACAGAGTGCTCACTATGTGCCAGGCACCATGCTAAACACTCTACATAGATTATCCCATGTAATTCCCACCACTATTCTTCCCATCAACTATTATCATCCCCACTTTGCAGAAGACGAGATCGAGGCATACAGCAGTTCCCAAATTTGGTCAAAGGTGGAGCAGGCATTTGGAATCAGCACTGTCTTATTCCAGTGTTTACTCTGAATCATCATGCACCTATCATTAAACTTGAGACTTTAAAAATATCACTACTGACTTAAGTATTTAGTAATATAGCTAATACGTTGGTCACTTTTCAGATAGTCCTAGCCAGCATTTCCCCCCTCCTTCAATGAAACGCTGTAAAACTTTAAGTAGTGGATCATTAGCTATTGCTGTGAAACAGACTCTCTCAAAAGTAGGTGGCATCAAACAATAAGTATTTATGATTGTTCCCAAGTCGGTATGGGTCAGCTGAGAAGTTCTTCTGGTGGCAGGTGGACCTACTCATGTACCTGGGTCAGCTGTGGTCAGGTGGCAGTTCTGCTGATGTTAGCTGGGCTCTCCCACATGACTGGAAGTCCAGTGTCTGAGCCTGGTCCAATAATAACCTCAGTTAGGAAACTGGACTCGCTCTGCTCCATGTCACTCTCATCCTCCACTAGGGTAGCCTGGGCTTTTCCCTACAGTGGTGGCAATGTTTCAAGAGCAAGCAAGAGAAAACAGAAGAGTTCAAGGATACTGGAAGCCAGGCTTGAAACTATCACAGAGTCCCTTTAGCCAAAGTCACTTTGGCATTCCATTGGCCAAAGCAAGACCCAAGTCCAGTTTGGACTCAGAGTGGGCAGAGACTAGAAGGTCCCATAGCAAAGGGTAGCTACAAGCAGGCATTAACCAAGACCATCAATATAATCAATCTTTCACACAGAGTAGCTATGAAAACAGTCAGTTTCTTATTTTGATACTAATAGCAATATTGATTGAATGCAGAGTATGTGCAGGACTCCATCAAAACTGCTCTGTGAGATCAACACTGTTACAATCACCCCTCATATGAGAGGAAACCAAGGTTTAAAGAGATGGAGGAAGGCACTCATAGTCTCACACTCCTGTACGGAGGATGTAGTCTTAGCTTTCACTGGCTTGGTCCGGCCACCGAGCCCTGATCCAGGAGCACTGGTGACGTATTTTCTTAACAAGCACAAAGAAAGATTTCTTCCCACCTTGTCCCAAGTGTGTCTTCAAAGGATATATAGTCCTTTGACTTTTCATCCTTTCCGTGGAGGGCCTGATGAAATTGACGGTACCCCAGAGTCCATGCCTCTGAACAAGCCCCTTCTCAATTTATTACTTTGGCAGCTCTTGCTCTAATTCCAACGTGTGTGTGCAGTGCCCCTGGGGGTAGAAGAGCCTTCTCTGCAATGAAAAACAATGTAACCCTGGGCTGTTGACTTTCATGTCCCCTAAGTGTATGGGAAGAAAGAACGGGGGCTAGGGACCAGGCGCCTCTCTGGGTCTCTGTTTCTTCATCTGCAAAATGTTCGATATTTAACCTGGCCCCATCTCTCATAGAATATCTGGGAGGACCCAAGAAGGCAATGGGTATGAGCATGCTTTGCAAAGATAAAAGGTAGGCGGCTGAGCAGAGGGAGCAAGGAAGCAAAATAGAAGAAGAGACAAGAGAGGGAAGAGTAGAATCCTGGAGGCGAGAAAGGGAAAAGGTAGAGTCTTCTACTCAGAGCCTGCACAGCTAGGCGCAGTTTTACGTTGCATGAACTTTTTCCCCAGACCCTCCTGTGGAAAGCAGACAGCCCCTCACTCACAAGTAATATGTTGGCTACACTGCCCCCTGCTGATCATTATGTGTAACAGCACAGATGCCGACAGCCAGTTGAAATAATGAGCTTGGGTTTCCGAGACCAGCAGAGGCTGCAAGGGGGTGAGAGGCTGGTGGTCTTTGAGACCACACATATACCAAGGAACCTATGAGGACTTCTGCCTGACCAGTCCCAAAGCCACTTATTAGCCCTAAGTTCAATGAAACTCCCCCTCCTCCACTTTCCTTTTTCTTTTGCCCCAGGGAGCCAGAGAATCAGCGTTTTCCCTTTCTTTCAGGCATTGCTGCCATATCCATTCTACAAACTGTGGCTGTTACATGGGACCCAGCTTCTCTGTTTTTCCATCCTTTGCAAAGACAAAGTTCAGGGGTCATATTTCTTTCCCGAGTTTTATTATAATACTAATCACCATGGGAACATGGGGAGGGGAAAGGATGCAAGATAGTAAACATTGCAATCACATCACAAAAGTTCTAGAATCTCGTTAGGTCATTGGATTTTTGTCTTGGTTCCGAATCTAGAGTGTCTGGCTCTCCCTGAAATGTTACCTGAAAATGAAAGCCTTAAATATTTTTCTCTTTGTTTTTATGCCTGAGGAGGGACCTCTGTAAACAATTTCCCTAACCACCACCTGACATGAACCACCTGACATGAAGCTCGATCCCCAGGACTCACTTCCTCCCTTCTCCTCCTCTTGTTCTGAGGATGAAGCTGTGGCAGTTACTCAGTTGCCCCCTAGACAAAGCAGAGTTTCCAAGGGGGACACACCCAAAACTAGGGAACACTAGCAGAGACGGATCACTTGCATACTTCCTCCCAGCTCACCTGGAATCCAAATGAGTAAGAAGTTCATCTGGCCTCAAGAAAACAATATCTTCAAACAAATGTCTCTTGAGCCCCTGCTCTGGGCTGAGCATTTCAGCTACCCAGAAGATGAAGGGAGGAGCTTCTTTGCATTATAGTCTAAAATGTGGCTCACATTCACGTGGTGTGACTACACAGCAATGACAGTATTTGCTGAATGCTTCCTATGGCCAAACACCATTCTAAACTCTGTGCATACGTTAAATCAATGAGTCTATGAAGCATAATCTACTCTTCTTCTTCTTCCTAGTTTATAGATGAGGAAATAAAGGCAATGAGAAGTTAATGAAGTGATTCACCCAAGGTCACAGGGTTCATAAGCAAGAGAGCTGGGATCTGAATGCAGGCTTTCTGGCTCCAATACCCACCTGCATGACCACCCTACTATCTGCCCCTCACTACAACTAGTGAGACTGGTCTTTGAGGCTTATGGGTTCTGGGACAGTCTAGGTTGTAGCCCCACCCTGCCACTCTGTCACTTGATATCTGTGTGAACATGGGAAACACACTTAAATTCTTGAGGCTTCAGTTTCCTCATCTGTAAAATAGAAAGAATAGAATCCACCTCAGAGAATTATGACAAATTTTAAATAAAATGGTGCTTAGAAAGCAGTCAATTAAAGTGATGCCTATAAAGGATCTGGCAAACACTAAGCACTTAATAAATATTAACTACTCTTTTATTTGATATTTTTTAACTTTACTGAATTCATTTGTTGTTGGAGGAAACCTGAATTTTTACCCTAGGATCTGCCAGTAAGTCACTATACGATTGAGGATTTATCTCTCATTTAGATCATAGCATAGCCTCTTACCTATACTTTTCCCATGCCAACCCCAATGGACTAGTTTCTTCTTGGACAGCTAGAGTAATCTTTTAAAAATAAATACATCACTTTACTTCCCTGCTTAAAGCTTTCCAGTGGTTTCCCATTGCACAAAGAATGAAACCCAAAACGCTTGGCCTGATTTACACAGCTATACCTGACACAACCATTGCCCATACCTGACACAGCCACTGTGTCTCTCTCCTCCCCATTCCTCACTATGATCCAGGCAAACCGGCTTTCTGATTTGAATTTAGCAACTTATTCCTACCTTGTGATATTTACCAGAGAGGCAGCCAGAAAATCCTTCACCTTGAACTCTCCAAGCCTGGCTCCTTCTTGTCAGAGCTCAAATCAGATACCATTCCTTGTCGAGGCGTGTTCCCTTATTCTTGTGTCCATCCCTTGCTTTATCTTCTCCACAGTATTCACCACTATCTGAAACTATGCTACTCATTTATTTATCAACTGGTTTTCTCTTCTGTGTCATTCTACCAGAATGCAAACTACATAAGAACAAAGAGTGTGGTTAGGAGAACCTTTTTAGTTGTGATATTGCAGTCCATGAGTTCAGTGCCTGGCATCTAGGAGATCTTCAATACATAGATGTTGAATAAATGAAGGAGTTTATTAGCTCAAGCCTCATTTATGAAACACAGTAACTTGGATACAGTAATATTGAAATTTCTTTCTGGCTCTAAATTCCAAGAATCTTAAGGCATTTTGGGGTCCTAAGCCAACAGAGAGATGAGAGAAAGGTCTGGATTGTGGAATCCTAGGACATGCTATTGATAATATTTACCAGATATGAGAACAAAGCTGTAGCCATCTTCCATGTTACTGAAAAAAAGATACATTTTGTCCAAATGTCCCCAAAATTTATCTCACTGTAATATTTCACAAGTCTCTCTTAGGTTTAACTTTCTCACTTCTTTATAGCTCTGTGATCACATCTCATTACAAGCATAAAGGCACTGTCAGAAAAGATGGTTGTGATCAACTAACTGGCTGATGTGAACTTTGCCCCAAATCCAGAGATGTTTGTTGACTCTCAGAGTTCCCATAAGTATTTCTCTTGAGAATGTTCCATCAAATACCACCCAGGAACAATGAAAAGTTTCTAGATGAATCTGGAATTTATTGAAAATATTTTCACTATGAGTATCACTTGGGTACTTACTCACATCATTTTTTCATTAATGAATTCAACAAACATGTATTCAACACCTACCGTAAAAAGTCAAAGGGTGATCAAAAGAGATATCAGTACCTACTCTTACAGTGTATCAATTAATCAAACACCAAAATTATGTGTTACTTGCCAACCATGATAAAGATGATGGTAAAATAGTCTCAGGAAAAAAAGTATAGATTATTATCTTGTATAGTAGCTAAGAGAATGCAGGTTTAAAGAGCAGAATAGTATTTTTTTATGAGAAAAAAAGGGTAATAAGTATTAACCCACAGTGTTAGTGGAATTCAGAATAGCTTTCCACACTTACCCTGTTTGAAACCACCCTCTTCTGAGCCTTGGCTTGTTTATGGGGTTCTAATTAGCATGTTTGATTAGAAGTCAAGGAATCATGGAGAGCTGAGCCTCTCATTTCTACACAGAGAAAACTGGCTTCCTTAAAATTCTGATGTAACCATGTGCTGGCCTCCAGTACACCCATTAATTTGTGTTTATCCCTGAGGAGAGCAAGGAGGAGTTTGCAGAAACAGAAGAAAAGAACAGAAAGAGAAAGGTAAAGCCTCAGGCAATACACAAAGATCCATAATAAGCAGTTCTGGAAGGAATGAGATTGCATCAGCTTCAATAGCAGATGAGCCTTGTCTTATTTTTCTTTGCTCATCTGACCAGGTACTCCATAAATGTCAGAAGGAGGATGAGAAGAAGTAAACACGTTGTTATAAAAGAAGAAGGGGGCCATTTGGTTCGTGTCAGTTGTCTGGATTGTAAAATATTGCAATGCCCAGCTGACCTTGAGAAAGCTTGCACTGGTATACTATTGACCATTTAAGTAGCTATATTAAACTCTCTGGTTTAAGCTAGAGAGTGTATTTATGGGGATTGCAAATATAGGTGCTCTTTGAACACACGTGCTCTCTTCCTGCTTTCTTGAATTGGCTGTGTTCTAGTTGGCTGAATTTGCTCTAAATCAACATATAGGCATGTGGAAGGTACATTTGCTGCTATGGAGGGTCTGCTGTGTTTAGCTATCCTCCAAAACATAAGGGAAGCATTTCTCCAGATGGCAGTGTGCTTGGAGTTCAGAGGAATGTGTTTTTGGCCATCAGCAAGGCTCAGTCATCAGTGTTGGCCAGTCACCCATACTCAGCATCACGTGCAGTTGTGCACTCTGACAATCCACCAGCAGCTCTGGGCCCTGGGGTGAGTACTGTTATTTGGACAGAAAACTAAGACCTCCTGTCAAAAGTAAATACTGTGCACTGGTATTGATCTAAATTATTCAGCCTGCATACCTACATATATTAAGGAGAAGATTTTACTAAAATGTTTGAAGGCAGAAGAGGCCTGGACTTAAATCTCCACTCCACTCTATGCAACTGTGTAATTTCAAGGAAGTTATACAATCTCCTTGAGCATCAGATTATTTATCTGGAAAATGAGGATGAGAATGGTGCCTACCTCTTATGAATGAGGTGATCGTAAGAATTAAAAGAGATACCATATGCAAAGTGCATGGGACTGTGGCTGACTGCTAGCAAGTCACACACTTGCACACAATTCTGCATTGATATATCCAGCACTGTAGACAGAGAATATATTCTAGGATGGGCAAAAGAAAAATCTGAGCATAAAAGTGCATCTTTCTCAAAAGGCCTTAGGATTTTTTTTCTTATGTACCAAGTCAATTTAGTGGGCAGAAATCAGCACTGTGGACAGCTCCATTAATTGCAAATGGAGCGAGTGGTGCTGGCTTTAAAATTAGACCATCAGTGTTTTTTTGCTTTTGTTTTTTGTTTGTTTGTTTTTGAGATGGAGTCTCACTCTGTCGCCCAGGCTGGAGTGCAGTGGCGTGATCTTGGCTCACTGCAAGCTGCGCCTCCCAGGTTCAAGAAATTCTCCTGCCTCAGCCTCCCGAGTAGCTGGGACTACAGGTGCCCGCCACCATGCCCGTCTAATTTTTTTGTATTTTTAGTAGAGATGGGGTTTCACCGTGTTAGCCAGGATGGTCTACATCTCCTGACCTCGTGATCCGCCCGTCTCGGCCTCCCAAAGTACTGGGATTACAGGCGTGAGCCACTGCACCCGGCTATATCAGTGTTCTTAAAATTGTGGGCCTATGCAAAATCAATACTAAAGGGCTGTGAGCAGCACTTTAAAAATAAAATAAAGAAGGAAAGAATGAAATAAAAATGTATAGTGTATTTGCAAATAGTCAGGGTAAGTATTGTTTGATGAACCTACTATCTTGTTCTGTTTTTTTTTTTGTTATTGTTTGGTGTGTGTGTGTGTGTGTGTGTGTGTGTGTGTGTGTGTGTGTGTGTGTTCAGTGAAGACAAAAGTTGGGAGACCACTGATCTATTAGATCACTTTTCTCTAGAAAAATCCATTCTCAAACTATTTCCGGCTGGACTATTTTGTCTCTGCCTCTGATTAAAGTTGTACGTGTCATTTCTCCTGGTCTAGCCACAGTAAATAAAGCAGTCCCAATGGCCCTGCAAATTACATCTCTGGGGAGCTTAGGCTAGTACCCTAAATGTCAAACACCTGAGTCAAAAATTCAGTCAGACATCTGGGACTTGATCTACTTGATGCTAAAGAATAAACTGAAATATTTTTCTCCAGAAAATTTATAAATTAGGGAATTTTCACTAGAAGTTGGCTCTCTCACTGTTGGGCATCAATAAAACTGCTTATGAATTGAAGAGGCCTCTACAGAGTCACTTTTTTTTTTTTTTTTTTTTGAGACAGAGTCTCACTCTCTCACCCAGGCTGGAGTGCAATGGTGTGATCTTGGCTCACTGCAACCTCCTCCACCTCCCAGGTTCTAGCGATTCTCCTGCCTCAGCCTCCTGAGTAGTTGGGATTACAGGTGCCCACCACTATGCCTGGCTAATTTTTGTATTTTTAGTAAATACTGGGTTTCACCATATTGGTCATGCTGGTCTCGATCTCCTGACCTCATGATCCGCCCGCCTCAGCCTCCCAAAGTGCTGGGATTATGGGCATACAGGCATAAGCCACCGCACCCAGCCTACAGAGTCACTTTCTGCCTTAGAACATCAATCTGTGTAACCATCAACCCAAGACAGATACTGGGAAGTTTGTCTTGGTCTCTGACTCCAGAAAAGGCTCCTAGAAAGTATCTCACCAAAGATCTCACAAGTTACTCAATGAGAGGGCTGGGACTCACAGAAAAATATCCTGCTCCTTAAATCTCTCGTGTGTGTGTGTGTGTTTTCCCTATACTAAGCTCAGAGTTGAACAAAGGCAAAATGAGAATTTTTCATTCCAGGTACAATGATCCTTCTCATTAAATATACAAGTGTAGTTAGTATAATTGTGTAATAAGGACATATGTAACAATTGAGAGAAAAAGACACTTCTTTCTCATAAATGGTTAGGGCATAAATATTGCCAACATTTTTCAATGATTATTTATGGCAAAACTCATCTTTCCATCCCACAATTACTCTACTGATTAGCAAGGGACCTATGTTTTTCTCCCCCATATCTGAAAAGGCAATGTATTTGGATATGTGTTGCCTTTTGACCACTCAGCATCCACTTCTATCTTCTAAAAACACTCCTATTTCCTTTGAAAATGTGCCTCTTCTCTTTGGGATACAAGCATTCACGTCTTTCCTTTTGCCACTCAAGGTGTGTCCTTGTGACCACAGCCTTCAGCAGTCAGACCCTCCTTCCCTAGAATTTTATTCATGAGCAGAGGGCCAAAGAGACTAACCCTGGTGGGGTCAATTCCTGACCAGCATCCATGTTCTAATTAGCTGGGGACTCCAGCACTGTTGCTTTCCAGATTGGCCTTAGTTCTGCCCTGTCGCCAGCCTGGTTCTTCAGCCTTCAAAAAAAAAAATCTGTGAGCTCTCAGTTCCTTCCATTGAATTCCCTTGTGCTTAAATTAATTTGAATCTGTTTCTATTGCCTGCCACTAAGGGGGGTATTCAAAATATTGAAAAACGATTCCATCTGAACCAGATGCACTAAGCAATTAGAACAGGTGTCAGCCACGGATCTGGTGTGACTGTGCTGGTGTGTCTTGGCTAAAGATCAGCCCAGTTTGCAGCCAAAGAAGCACAACAAAAACCCAGGCCAAAACACCCCAGCATTCGTGACCCACAGAAATAATCTCACTTAGAAGGAATCACAGGGATGGGGACCTTTGCCAGGCTCAGAATAGAGATTTAAACAATGTCAAGTCAATGAATGAATTAATGAACTAACAGTTCCCCAGAAAAAGACATAGGAGAATAGTAAATCTGACCTGCCACCTATAGATAATCCAGAGCTGGGCATACTCTTCTTTCCTTACAGAAGGATTTAGCCTAATGTATTCTGCTAGTGAACTGCAAGACAAGTGCAATTAATACATAGATAAACATTGATAAAATGATAAAAATGATGTGACATTATCACACTTTTTTGTTACCTCCTGTTTATGGCAAATAATATTGGTTTTTGATTAATGGTAATGAGATAAATTTTCTTTTTCTTTTTTTTTGAGACAGAGTCTCACTCTGTCGCCCAGGCTGGAGTGCAATGGCGTGATCTCGGCTCACTGCAACCTCCGCCTTCCAGGTTCAAGCGATTCTCCTGCCTCAGCCTCCTGAGTAGCTGGGATTACAGGCATGTGCCACCATGCCTAGCTAATTTTTGTAGTTTTAGTATAGATGTGGTTTCACCATGTTGGTAAGGCTGGTCTTGAGCTCCTGACCTTGTGATCTGCCCGCCTTGGCCTCCCAAAGTGCTGGGATTACAAGCATGAGCCACTGCATGCATCCAGCCTCTTTTTTTTTTTTTTTTTTTGAGACAGTCTCACTCCGTCACCAAGGCTGGAGTGCAGTGGCATGATCTCGGCTCACTGCAACCTCCACCTCCAAGGCTTAAGCGATTCTTGTGCCTCAGCCTTCCGAGTAGCTAGAACTACAGACATATGCCACCACGCATGGCTCGTTTTTGTATTTTCAGTAGAGACAGGTTTTCTCCATGTTGGCCAGGCTGGTCTTGAAATCCTGACCTGAAGTGATCCGTCCACCTTGGCCTTCCAAAGTGCTGGGATTACAGGCATGAGCCATTGCACCTGGCCATTTTCCTTATAAAATACATTATTTGAGTGAAAATGTGGGTGCATTTTTTACAATTATGTAAATAAGAGCGCAGGTGGTATAAAGATATAGTAAGATTCATTCCAGCAGCATAAGAACACCTGATATTTAAGAAACACTGTATAACACATGGTAGACAAAGAATCTAAACTCAAGACGAGGACTTGAACCTTGGCTTCTTCTCAGGCCTTCCAAAATAGCTTCCCCTTTTCTCTCTCTGCCTCTGTCTCTACATCCACTAAACAGGGATGACAATGCTAGCAGTATTCACATAATTGTTATGAAGAGCAGCACCTAAGCACAGCCACAGCATGATATAGAAAACCCAGCGATGATAGCAAACTGAGATCCTGAGTCCCTCGCACATGGTCTGCTGAGCAGCTGTTGATGCTTGCATGTTTTAGACAGTTTTGCCTTGGGCCGGATTCCACTCAGTGACCTAGACATGAAAGACTGTGTGTGTCCCAGTTCCAAATTTCTGAGCTGTGTTTCCTATTCCTTTGCTTCTACTGTTCATGTAAAAGTACACTCCAAAATAGCAAAGGGGTTTCTTGTAATAAATTCCTTTCAGTTTTCATAAGCAAGATGGCTTTTAAAATGAAAGGAACATTCACGTAGCTGAATGTAAGTTTACGCATACATTCATTATGCACACTTTAGTCATCTTACTAGGCAAAAGGCATATTTCAGAGAAATTATTTTTAAGGGCTGATATTAGGACTAAAGTTCCAATCTTGACTTTGTTTAACAGACCAAAAAGCAACAAGATGTTAAATGGGAACTGTCATGCTTTATCTAACCAAGTGAAGTGCTATACAGCAGAAATTGTAAACTGACAGCCCACAGATTGGATCAGACCCATAGAAGAGGAAGTGTGGAATGGCAGGCAGGAGAGGATTTATTAAAATAAATTGCCCAAATCTTAAAATTGGGAGTTCTCACATGAAAGTGTTAATCTCCATCTTCTTGTGACAAAATGTAAATACCTGATAACACTGGGCTCAGGACCACAGTCAGCTCGATTTGAGAAATGACTGTCCCCTTTGGGTGGCCACGTACTTTCCAGGTGGCCGCAGACCCCATCTACCTCTGTTGTGCTATGCCCAACCTCTTTGCCTTCCTTATATTACCAGCCGGAGACCAGAGAATGGTAAAAGGTCACTGTTACTTCCCATCGTGGAATTGGCTACATCTGTCCAAACATACTCAATGTGGAAATGGTAAGTTTCATGAGGGCAAGCGTAGACCTGCCGCTTGTGTATGTATCCCTTTGTCTATTTTATTTTCCATTATATCCCCTGCATCTCACACATATCAGGTACTTAATATACTTCTGGGATAGATGAATGGAGAAGGGACACATGGGAAGGAGGGAGAAGAAGGTAGATAAAAAGATCTTGGGCCCCTCATCGGAGAGGGGAACATGTGGAACACTTCAAAGTCATCAGACACCACTGCCTTGTTAGTGTGGCTCCGGAGAAGTACGGGGGCCCCAAAGCCCAGCCAAAGAAAGGGTTATTACCGCATGTTATATCCACTGTCCTAAAGACTCTTTTTCCTGAAGAGGAAAGAAGCAAATGAAGGAAAGAGAAAAGAGAATTCCCCAAAGATTTTTTTTTTTTTTAAGAGCACATTGGCTAAGACCATGGACATCACTGTCAGAACAATCTGGATTTGAATCTTGGTTCTGTTTGACCTTGGCTAATTTGTTTTACCTCTTTGGGCCTCAGTTTTCTAATATTTAAAATGGGATAATGCTTGCTTTGCAGAATTTGTGTGGGTATTTAATGAGATGATTCATATAAAGCACTTAGCAGAGTGAAGGTAAATAGTAACATCTTAAAACACATTGTAATTACTGTCACCTCTTTTTACTGAAACATCAGTTTTTTTATTCTCCACTGGATTATTCCCATAAGAAGAAAACATATTGCAATAGCTCCTGTTTTAAAATATATATATATAAATTAAAAATCCATCTCTTGATTCACATCCCTTTCCATATACCACCCCATTTCTTTGCTCTTTTTTAGAATAAAACTTCTCCAAATAAAAGTTATTCAAACTCATTGTCTCTAGATCCTCTCTTGCCATTCTCATTTGAAGCTGTCAGGCTTTTATCTCTACTACTTCCCTAAAAGAGCCCTGGTTAGGATCACCACGGATGTTGCCATGACAAAATCCACTGATCAATTCTCAGTTATCGTTTCCCTTGATCACAGACACCGATGATCCCTCGCTCTCTTTCCTGAAAATCTTTCTTCACTTGGCTTCTGGAATCCACTCACCTTATCTCACTGGCCACTCCTGAACCTTCTTTGCTCACTCATCATCTTGCAATTGATAATTGTTTTCTAATTACTAGAAAATTTTATCCAGTCTTATGACTTTATTGCCATTTTCATTATAATGACTCTCAAATGTTTATCTCCAGACCAGACCCTTCCCTGAACTCCAGCCCTCTCTATAGAACTGCCACTTGTGTATATATATCTACTTGCATGTCAAGTGAGAGGGTTTAGCTTAATATTACCAAAATGGAACTCTTGGATTAGAAACAACAGCATCCCAGTAGCAATAAGGGAAAACCTGGCATCTGTACCCTGTACCTTGGTTTCAAATATCATTTTCCAATAAAAGGAACCAGGGTTCCTTAAAGAAATGGCTGATTCTAGGGCTGAGGCAGAAAATAAAAAGGACCAGCCTTGAGCACATTCTGGTGCCCAAAAGTATGGAAGTGCAACACACACACACACACACGTGGGATGTCAAAAAGACCTAAAGGCTGGGCACGGTGGCTCACATCTGCAATCCCAGCACTTTGGGAGGCTGAGGTGGGAGAATCACTTAAGTCCAGGAGTTTGAGACCAACCTGGGCAACATAGCAAGACCTGTCTCTACAAAAAAAAAAAAAAAAAAAAAAAAAAACAAAAGTACAAAAATTAGCCAGGTGTGATGGCATGCACCTGTAGTCCTAGATACTCAGAAGGCTAAGGCATGAGGATCACTTGAGCCTGGGAGGTCGAGGTTGCAATGAGCCAAGATATGCTACTGTACTCCAGCCTGGGCAACAGAGTGAGACCCCATCTCAGAAAAACAAAAACAAAAACAAACAAACAGAAAAAGACCTAGGAGTCAAAGGAAAGCGCTCCCAATGGTCAAAGCTGCAACAATTTGAGCAATGAAATAAAGTAGTATTGGACTATAACCCAAGGTATAAAATAAAAGTCTATGAGTCCATACTCATATAAATGATTAAATAAGTAAGTAAATGGAGACCAGATGAATGCAGAAGAATTCCAAATAATGTATGCAGATACTCCACCACCAAGGAGGTAGAGTATCTACATTCCTTAAGTGTAGGCTGTTCATAAGGACTTCCTTTCAAAGAGTACAGCATGGAAAAGGGTTAAAACTGTAACTTTACTGTAGAAAAACCTGAAAAATCCTACCTTATCCAGATGCTGAAGATTAACACCAACAGGATAAGTCATGTTGACAGTATGCACCCTTGATATGATGTGATGAGAAGGACACCATACCTCTGGGGTCTTCCTCCCAAAAACCCATAACACCAGTCTAATCACGATAAAAAAAAAAAAAAAAAAAAAAAAAAGGCCGGGCACGGTGCCTCACGCCTGTAATCCCAGCACTTTGGGAGGCCGAGGTGGGTGGATCACAAGGTCGGGAGATCGAGACCATCCTGGCTAACACGGTGAAACCCCGTCTCTACTAAAAAAATACAAAATAATTAGGCAGGTGTGGTGGCGGGCACCTGTAGTCCCAGCTACTCGGGAGGCTGAGGCAGGAGAATGGCGTGAACCCAGGAGGCGGAGCTTGCAGTGAGCCGAGATCGCGCCACTGTACTCCAGCCTGGGTGACAGAGTGAGACTCTGTCTCAAAACAAAAACAAAAACAAAAACAAAAAAAAATCACTGGACAAATCCTAATTGAGGGATACTCTACAAAATAGCTGATTGGCACTCCTCAAAACTGTCAAGGTCATCAAAGACAACGAAAGTCCGAGAAATGGTCACAGCCAAGAGGAGCCTAAGGTGACGTGATGAGTAATGGAATATGGTATCCTGGATGGGATCCTAGAATGAAAAAGGAACACTCGGTAAAAACTAAGGACATCTGGATAATGTATGGACTTCAGTTATTAATAGTCCATCGATATTGGTTCACTAACTGTGACAAATGTATATTAAATATATTAAGAATAGGGGAAATTGAGTGTGAGATATATGGAAACTCTGTATTACTGTCACAATGTTTCTGTAAATCTAAAACTTTCCTAAAACTAAAAGGTTGTAAAATATTAAACTCCTTCTACAATAAAATGCAGTCTTTCCCATCTCAATAAATGCGAACTCCACTCTTCCAGTTGCTCAGGTCAAAACTTTTGGAGTCATCTTTGGCTGCATTCTCTTTTTTACACTCTGTACCCAACATCCAAACATACTCCCATCTCAGGGCTTTCCACCTTATGATCTCTCTGCCTGAAATTCTTTCTCCCCAGATGATCACATAGCCTCTTCCTTCATATCCTTCAAATGTCAACTTCACCACCAAGGCCTTTCCTGATTGTGCCTGTAAAATAAGAGAACACTCCACCACAGTATGACCCATCCCCCTCAAACTGTCCTACTGTTCATAGAATTTATCTTCATGACAAAGAAAAAGCAGTCCCTGACAGCCAAGAGCTTGCCTGACACCTTCAGCTAGGCTGGGGTGTTCTCCTGTTGAACATAAACAACTTCACAGAACAAGATCAGACAAGACCCCTCTGTGTCCACGATGGATCAAAACAAAAACAAGACCACTCCATAATCATGTTTGAACATAGACAAAAACATGAGCATTGTCCAAAACACAGCAGCGATCAAGCATCCTGATATTCTGCTAATAGGAGTGACTGCTGCTGCTTCACCAACAATAGATTTGGCCTTGCTCTGTTCGCCTCGCCTTCTAGATGAGAATTTTTGAGGTACTGTGATAGGCAGAAGAGTGCCCCTCCGAAGATGTTCACAGTCTAATCCCAAGAACTTGTGAATATGTCACTTTATATGGCAAAAGGGGATTTGCAGATGTGACCAAGTTGAAGATTTTTAGAAGGGGAGATTATTCAGAATTATCCAGGCGGGCCCAATGTAATCACAATGGCTCTTGTAAGAGGAAGACAGTCGGGTTGGAGTCAGTGAAGGAGATATGACAACACCATGCTGCTGGCTTTGAAGATTAAGGAAGATGCCATAAGCCAAGGAATGCATGTGGCATCCAGAGCTGGGAATGGCAAGAAGACAGGTTCTCCCCTGGAGCCTCCAGGGGAGAAGAACCAGACCTGCTGGCACCTTCATTTTAACCCAATGAATCTGATTTTGGACTTCCTCCAGAACTGTGAGATAATTTTTTGCTGTTCTAAGCTACTAGGTTTATGATGTTTCATAATGGCAGCAGTTGGAAACTAATACAGATACCCAGATACAGAATGACCCCTGCTTCCTGGAAGCATCCAATCTGGAGCAAAGAACCACTTCCTTGAATCCTCCCCCAAATCACCCAACACAACTCCAAGCCCTATCATTATTTCTTCCTAACATCTCACTAAGAGATATTCTACAAAATAGCTGATCGGCACTCCTTAAAACTGTCAAGGTCATCAAAGACAAGGAAAGTCCGAGAAACGGTCACAGCCAAGAAGACCCTAAGGAGACGTGAGGACTAATGAACTATGGTATCCTGGATGAGATCCTAGAATGAAAAAGGAACACTAGGTAAAAACTAAGGACATCTGGATAATGCAGCTCCCCAGCATACATTCTCTCTCACTGCCAAGAGCCAATAAAGGCAACTTCGCTCAATTACAGGTATAATCCCATTGCTCTTTGGCTGTAGGGCATTGACAACCTTCTGGTGTTCCAAATATTTAACTGCTTATTGTCTGTCTAACCCAGCACTGCATTCCCCAAGCCTGGATCACCATAAATATATAATAAATAATAAGTCAATCTGTCAATAATTAATCAGTATTATTAAGGATCCTGAGGCAAGTATGATGAAATAGAAGTGTTTTAGGACTGTACCTCAGGTAAGCTAAGCCAGTCAATCCAACTTATGGCAGGTGAATGTTTATTTCCTGAAATTTTAAAGGAAAATGAGTGTTTTGAGTCATAGAAGGGTTTTATCTATCTTTCTTTTCTTAGTGAAGTTCCACAAGTACAGTTCTGGCCTTGGCAAAATGGGAAAAGGTGAGGTCTACACTGTAGCCAGGAGAACCTGGCTGGATGCAGGGGTGGGAGTGGACAGAAAAGAATGATCCAGGGACCTACTGTCACGGTGATGTCATAGTAACCATTACTGTGATCTCTTTACCAAGTGCCAGGCACTCTTCACGTGCATTGTCTCGGGCAACCTGTAAACAGCCCAAGAGTTAGATAAAATTGCTGCCTCATTCTACTGAGAAAAAGTGAGTCTCCAAAAGATGTTTGCCTAAGATCATGTAGCTAACAGGTGGCAGAGTCTGGATCTGAACCTAGATCTGTCAGATGGTAAAGCTTGACTATCCTGCTACAGCAACCAGAGCCCAAGAAACCCACCTACGATGGGGCGGGGGTGGAGTAACAGGTCAGTGCTCAGGAGGCACAGTGCTGGGAACACCTAGGTGCTAGTTTTTTGAGCTCACACTTTTCTAAACTCCTGTGCAGCTGATGATTAAATGTGAGTTCTCAGAGTTCCCTGAAGAACTTCCTGGCTCTATAGCCTTTAGTTACAGTGACAATTTATTCATATATTCATTCAATCAATGTTTATTCATGGAGTACCTAGGATGTGCCAGCACTGAGACAGGGTACAAGGCCCTCTACCAAATTATTTACAACTGGAAAATATTCCCCATAGGTTTGGTTTACCATGGTTCAGCCTGGAGATCCAGGAGTGAACAAGATGATGATAAGATTCCCTTCCAGCTTTGGGTCTAATGATCCTGGGTGCTCCTGAAACTGCTCAGGTGGTCAGTGAGTGCCCCCCTGGTAATTTCTGCCCAGAATGATTGACAGGAGAGACAACAAGTTCCTGGCCTGCGTTTCACCCCAGTGGCCGATGCATCTGAAATGCCTGCAGTTCTCAGCTCTTGAACAGAACTGAGGAGTCTTGAAAGAGGCCATGGCATGCCCTGTGGGGTCTCCAGGCAGCTTTGATAGGCCCAGTTGGCATTTGCTATAAAAACTTATTAAATCCAGGCCTTTCTTCTGCAACTGAGACTCCAGAACAGCTGCCCCTGACAAACAATAAAGAAGAGCTATCGAAGTCACATCATGGGCTGGAACCAGAAAAGAAAATAATAATAAAAAAAATAAAAAATAAAAAACTCTTGTCTGGTCCTCGCAGAATAATGACTTCATCTGATGCTGCTTTTCCACAGGGGCCACTGCAGGGGCCATCCTGGAGGGAGTCACAATGCAGGAGGACAGTGGCAAGTTCAAGAGCTACTGCAGCCGGGGAACAGCAGGACAGCAGCACGTTCAAGGGCTCTTGCAGCAGGGCATAGCAGGGAAAGGCCTCCCTGGGTCTAACCAATTTACTCCTATTGATTTTCAGATCAGAGGGGTTCAGCTCACAAATCAAAAGATGGTTTTCCCTCCCTGCTGCTAAATCTGCAGCCTCTCCCAGACACCTCACAAATTCTGCTTTGATCTTGATTAGCCTGGATGCTTCTAGGTTGGAAACTGTATGGAGGAGGCAGAGATCTAAAGGTAATCTGGGCTGCACCAGTCAGCCTGGCATGGACTGGTGCATATACGTGTGCTCACAGGTCCTGGGCGATGAGGCCGGGCAGCCCAGTGGTGAGAGGTCTGGGAGCTGGGTCCTGATGTGGGCATCATCACCCACTTGTTTATAACCTTTCACACTTAAACTCCCTAGGCTCTTTTTCTCAATTGTCAAATGGAAATAAGAGCCATTCCAGCCTTATGGCTAAGGAACTGGAGCTTCAGAATCAAACAGAACTGGGTTCAACTCCCACCTATGTCCTGTGTTACCTCAGGCAAGTCACATCACCTCTCTGAGCCTCCATTCCTTCATCTGAAAAATAAGCTTCCAGCAATTCTGGACTCTCAGAGTCATTGTGAGAATGACTCAAGATGATGCACATAGAAGTATTTAACACTTGAATGGCTTCTAGCAAGATCAGGAAACACCACCTATTACTACTAAATGGGGCTTTGGTAAGAATAAAACAGAATCATGTGTGTAAAGTGCTTTGAAAAGTACAAAGGACTGAAAAGACTCTGAAGGCTTCTGGAAATCAGTCTACCACATTTTGGAGCTGGGGTTAGGAAAGACCCTTGGAAGAGGATCCAAAGAAAGACACTCCAGAGCAAGATATATAGGAGGCCCAAGGACAACCTGCAGTGCAGGGCAGGCCACTTTCTGGGGCTCCAGGTGTTTTCTATATGATTGTGATCTTGATGCTCCCCACCTCACCCCACTGTCAGCCCCAAAAATTCCCATTGTATACAATTCCTTTTACAGGTGAGAGTCATGCTGGTAACACCGCCTGTCATCAGAGCCTTCCAGCTCTGGCAAGGACTGCTTGTTGCTATGCCAACAACCATTCTCACCTTCCTCCTTTATAAAACGATGCCAGTTGTATTTAAGCGGCAATATTTCCCAGATTCTGTTGAATCTAGGTATGGCCAGGTGACTATGTTGTGGCCAACAAGATGTAACTAGAAGTGTTTATGGAGCTTTTGCAAAAACTCTTTGAAAAGAAAGTTATTTCTCCCCCTTTTCCCCCTTTATGACCAGACCTACAGCGTGGCATGGATATCCACTGGCTGGCACACCAGAAGCCATGTTAGACTAAGAGGTGACTCAGGATGGCCATGCACTGGAGGTAGCAAAGCAGAGAGAAAGGAGTCTGCCTGATGACAGCCTACAGCCTCCATTACCAGGCCTGGGCCAATCACCTCTGGACTTTCTCTACATGAGAGAATAAACCATTATATGTTTAAATCTGTATTGTTTCCAGCTTTTATATGGCAGGAAGAAGTCTTACTAACTTCAACTGTTTAAAATTCTGTTCAGAGGCCTAGTGCCTAGTAGGTTATTCCCAGCCTGAGCCCTGAGCTGAGACTCATTACTAATGGCTTTCAAATCAGTGGGAAGCAAGTTTGGAAATGTGTTCATCATCGTTACTGGTAAATATTGATTAAGATTCCACCCACGCCTTGGAGGCAGGAGGTGGTGTTAGCTTCTCTGCTAAGGTTTTATAACACAGAAATCTTCAAGTAGAGAAGTACTCTCTGCTATCCCAATTGGAAGAACCAAGGAGAATTTCATGGAGGGTTTTATTTTGGGGGCTAGGTCTTAAACAATAATTAGAATTTCCATCAGCATGGGAACACTTCCAAACTTGTTATAAGGCCAGCGTCATCTGATATCAAAGCCATAGGCTTTGCAAATATATGCAACATATGCAAATCAACCAGTGTGATATACAACATTAACAAATGAGATAAAACCCCATGATTATTGATGCAGAAAGAGCTTGTGACAAAATTCAACACGTAATTTATAATAGACATTGTCACTAAATTAGATACAGAAGGAACTTATCTCAGCACAATATATATTCATATATGAACAACCCATAGCTAACATCATATGGTGAAAGACTGAGAGCTTTTCCCCTAAGATCTGGAACATGACAAGGATGCTACTTTCACCACTTCCATTCAATGTAGTTCTGGACATGCTAGGCAGAGCAATTAGGCAAGAAAAAAAAAGTCATCCAAATCAAAAGGAAGAAGTAAAACTATCCCTGTTTGCATACTTCATGATCTTATATATAGAAAACCCTAAAAGACTTCATAAAAATTGTTAGAACTAATTAATCAAAGTTTCAGGATATAAAAAATCATTAGAAACAAATTCAGCAAAGTTACAGGATATAAAATCAACATACAAAAATCAGTTGTGTTTCTAAACACTAACAACAAATTATACTAAATGAAAATATGAAAACAATTCCAATTATGACAGCACCAAAAAGAATAAAATAGGAATAAACTTAATCAAGAAAGTAAAAGACTTGTACCCTAAAAACTATAAAACACTAATAAGAGAAATTAAAGACATCCCATGTTCATGGATTGGAAGAGTTAATAATGTTAAAGTGGTCATACTATCCAAAGTTACTTATAGATTCAATGTAATCCCTACTAAAATCCCATTGACATGTTTGTAGAAATACAAAAAGCAATTCTAAAATTTATATGAAATCACAAAAGACCCCAAATAGTCAAAGCAATTTTGAGCAAAAAGAACAAAGCTGGAGGCATCATACGTTCTGGTTTCAAAAAATATTACAAAGCTACAATAATTAAAACAACATGGTACTGGCATAAAAACAGACATATAGACCAATTGAATAGAATAGAGAGCCCAGAAATAAACCCATGCATATGTGGTTAACATATCTTTGACAAGGGTGCCAAGAACACACAATGGGGAAATGTTAGTCTCTTCAATAAGTGATGCTGGGAAAACTGGGTATCAACATACAAAAGAATGAAATTGAACCCTTATCTTACACTATACACAAAAATCAACTCAAAATGGATTAAACACTTAAATGTAAGACCTGAAACCTTAAAACTTCTAGAAGAAAAACATAGAGGGAAATATTCCTGATTTTGACCTTAGTAATAATTTCTTGGATATGACAAGAAGCACAGACAACAAATGTAAATATAGAAAAGTGGGATTACATCAAACCAAAAGCTCTGCACACCAAAGCAAACAATCAACAAAATGAGAAGGCAATGTAAAAAATGCGCAAAAATACTTGTAAACTGTGTATCTGACAAAGAGCTAATACTCAAAACGTATAACTCCTACAACTCAGTAGCAAAAAACAAAACAAAGAACTCAATTAAAAAGTGAACAAAGAAACTGAATAGACTTTTCTCCAAAGAAGATATACAAAAAGCCAATAGATGTAATGAAAAGGTGCTCAACATCACTAATCATCGGGGAATGCAAATCAAAACTACAATGAAATATGACCTCACACTTGTTAGGAAGTCTATCATCAAAATAAACAAATAACAAATATTGGTGAGGTTGTGCAGAAAAGGAAACCCTTGTACATGGTTTATGGGAATGTAAATTGGTGCAGTCACTACAAGAAACAATATGGGTTTTTCTCAAATATTAAAACTAGAACTACCATATGATCCAGAAATCTTACTTCTGGTATACATCCAAAGAAAATAAAATCAGAATGTTGAAGAGATATCTGCACTCCCATTTTCATTGTGGCATTATTCACAATAGCAAAGGCATGGAAACAACCTAAATGTCCAATGACAGATGAATGGATAAAGAAAATGTTTTTTATATATATATATATATATATATATATACATACACACATATATATACATATATATATACATATATATACATATATACGTATATATATATACACACATATATATATACACATATATATATACACACACATATATATACACATATATATATATAAAATATCACTCAGCCTTAAAAAGAAGGAAATTCTGCCATTTGGGAAAACATGGATGAACCTGGATGGCACTATGCTAAGTGAAATAAGACAAAAACAGAAGGACAAATACTTACATGATGGACAACCACTTACACGATCAGTCTAAAATAGTCAAACTCATGGAAACAGAGAGTAAAAAATAGTGGTTACCAGGGGATAGGGGGAGGAGGAAATGAGGAGATATTAGTCAAAGGGCATAAAGTTTCAGTTATACAAGACGAACAAGTCCAAGGAACCTACTATCCAGCAGTGTCTACAGTTAACATGTACTGTACTGTGTACTGTAAAATCCACTAAGAAGATAGATCTTACGTTAACTGTATTTATCACAATAATAATAATAATTAATAGTGTGGGAAAATTTGGGTTTTTTTAAAAAAAGAATTTCTTTTAAAAAAATGTAGTACTTTTAATATAGCCAATTGATTCTCACAGAATTCTTTCTAATTTTTTTCATCAACTTTTATTTTAAGTTCTGGGGTACATGTGCAAGATGTGCAGGTTTGTTACCTAGGTAAGCGAGTGCCATGGTGGTTTACTGTGCAGATCAACCCATCACCTATGTATTAAGCCCAGCATCTATTAGCTATTCTTCCTGATGCTCTCCCTCCCCCGACTCCCCTGACAGGCCCCAGTGTGTGTTGTTTCCCCTACGTGTGTCCATGCTTTCTCATCCTTCAGCTCCCACTTACAAGTGAGAACATGCAGTGTTTGGTTTTCCGTTCCTGTGTTAGTCTGCTGAGAATAACAGCTTCCAGCTTCATCCATGTTTCTGCAAAGGACAGAATCTCATTCCTTTTTATGGCTACATAGTATTCCATGGTGTATATGTGCCACATTTTCTTTATCCGGTCTATCACTGATGGGCATTTGGATTGATTCCATGTCTTTGCTATTGTGCATAGTGATACAATGAACATATACGTGCATGTATCTTTATAATAGAATGATTATATTCCTTTGGGTATATACCCAGTAATGGGATTGCTGGGTCAAATGGTGTTTCTGTTTCTAGATCTTTGAGAAATCGCCACAATGTCTTCCAAATGGTTGAAGTAATTTACACTCCAACCAACAGTGTAAAAGTGTTCCTTTTTCTCTACAACCTCACCAGCATCTGTTGTTTCTTGACTTTTTAATAATCGCCATTCTGACTGGCATGAGATGGTATCTCATTGTGGTTTTGATTTGTATTTCTCTAATGATCAGTACACCAACAACAGGCATGCAGAGCGCCAGATCATGAATGAACTCCTATTCACAATTGCTACAAAGAGAATAAAATACCTAGGAATACAGCTAACAAGGGAAGTCAAGGACCTCTTCAAGAAGAACTACAAACCATTGTTCAAGGAAATCAGAGAGGACACAAACAAATGGAAAAACATTCCATGCTCATGGATATGAAGAATCAATATCATGAAAATGGCCATATTGCCCAAAGTAATTTATATATTCAATGCTATTCCCATTAAACTACCATTGACATTCTTCACAGAATTAGAAAAAAAAAACTTTTAAAATTCATATGGAACCAAAAAAGAACCCATATAGCCAAGACAATCCTAAACAAAAAGAACAAAGCTGGAAGCATCACGCTACCCATTTTCAAACTACTCTACAAGGCTACAGTAACCAACATAGTGTGGTACTGGTACAAAAACAGACATATAGACCAGTGGAATAGAATAGAGAACTCAGAAGTTAGACTGCACACCTACAACCAAATGACCATTAACAAACCTGACAAAAACAAGTAATGGGGAAATAATTTCCTATTTAATAAATGGTGCTGGGAACTGGATAGCCACATGCAGAAAACTGAAACCGAACCCCTTCCTTATGCCTTATACAAAAATTAACTCAAGATGGATTAAAGACTAAAATGTAAAAACCAAAACTATAAAAACCCTAGAAGAAAATCTAGGCAATACCATTCAGGACATAGGCATGGGCAAAGTTTTCATGACAAAAACGCCAAAAGCAATTGCAACAAAAGCAAAAACTGACAAATGGGATCTGATTAAACTAAAGAGCTTCTGCACAGCAAAAGAAACTATCATCAGAGTGAACAGACAACCTACAGAATGGGAGAAAATTTTTGCCATCTATCCATCTGACAAAGGTCTAACATCCAGAGTCTACAAAGAACTTAAACACATTTACAAGAAAAAACAAACAACCCCATTAAAAAATGGCCAAAGGACATGAAAAGACACTTCTCAAAAGAAGACATTCATGCAGCCAACAAACATATGAAAAAAAGCTCAGCATCATTGATAATTAGAAAAAAAGAATTTCAACCAGCAAAAAGGGGTAAGGAGACCAGACAAAGCACCAGCACAGGCAAATAATCAATTTTGGAGTAAGATGGAGTAGCATGAGTTACAGACAGCTTCGGATGTTGTACCAGATTATTCAGGCATTATTATGTAGAATTGTACCTCTGAGAAATTGAATAAGGGATCATTACTTTTTAAAAAAAAATGATTTCAAGTCATAATTGCTAAGAACTACAGTCACAATTGCATAAAAATATATAGACTATAAATAGCTATACACATATAATATAGAGATTTCGTATATATAGTACACATAAGTTTTTTAAAAGATTGCAGTGAGTTAAAAATGGTTAACACTGATTGAAGATTTCTGGGTGTTCTTCATTCATTAGTTCTTTTTATCCCCATGACAACCCTTTAAGACAAGTATTGTTATTATCCTTATTTTGCAGACAAGAACTGCAGTAACTTGCCCACGTTCTCACATTTAGTAAGAGGCAGTGCCAGGATTTGAAAATTGCCTGGGTCTGTTAAACTCCAAAGTCCATCTCCTTAACCACCAAGCCCAACTCCTTACAAAACGATTCATACCAACATGTCAACAGTGGTTACTTATAGGTGGAGCGATCATAGGGAACTATTTTCTATTTTGTACTTTGTACTATTTTGTATCCTTTCCTAATTTTCTACAAGCAAGGTATATTACTTTATATTTATATTGTGAAACATACCACATTTAGAAAGCAAGCATAAAGCATAAATTTATAGCTTAATATACCATAGAATAAACCCCATGGAACCATCGTCTATATCAGCACCCCAGGAGCCCTGTCTGATCACAGCTCCCTCCCACGTAAAGATAACCGTTCTCACTGCCAAGTCGTCATGCCCTTGTCTTCCTTTAAAATCACCATCTAATCATGTATCTCAAAAAAATGTAGGTTAATTCTGCTCATTTTGAACATTATATAAATGGAATAACATCGTCTGTGTTCTGTTGGGTCTGACACCTTTCTCTCAACATTATGTTTTTTAAGAATGTTATTTTCCTAATATAAAAAAATTCATTAGTGTTATAAAATATTTTAAATCTGGAATCACACAACGACCTCCTCAACCTGACTCAGTTGACACCTTCCCAGCTGTTACCTTCTAAGCAGGACCAATCCACCTTAAAACTAGAATTTGTTTCCTTTAAAAGTCATGGCCAGAGAAAAGAGGGGTCAGGACCCATAGCTGGCCCCCCTTTCCTGCTTGGGCCAGCTTGTCTTCCACCAGGCCAGCTCAGCCACCTGCCTGAAAGTGGATTATTCAATTCACTGCCACATTTTCTGAATCACTACTTAACTCACCAATCATGGGTTTCTCTGCCCAGGGGGCACTATGACCTTTGGTGCAGAGGGAAGTGGCTGTGCTCCTTGGAGCTGCCCGCCTTCTTTCTTGGTGGACAACCCAAAATGCTTTCAACTTGAGGGTCTACAAAATGCACTCCCCACTTTCTTCTCTTCCTCCCTCTCCTCCTCCTCCTTTTCTTCTCTTTCTAGAAGAAATTTTTTTTTGATGGAAATTTTCAAACATACACTAAATTACAGAGAATAGTATAATGAACCCCCATGTAACCTCAACAATGATCAACACATTACGTCCTTTTTTCTCCTACACACCCACCCAATTATCCCCCATGCCTACTGGATTATTATTTTTCAACTTTTATTTTAGATTCAGGGGGTGCCTGTGCACGCATGGGTTTAATGCATCATGCCGAGGTTTGGGCTATAAATGATCTCATCACCCGGGTACTGAGCATAGTACCCAACAGTTAGTTTTTCAACCCTGTAATTTTCCCTCCCCCATTTTTGAGTTGCCAGTATCTACTGTTGCCATCTTTATGTCCATGAGCACCCAGTGCTTAGCTCCCACTTATAAGTGAGAACATGTAGTATTTGGTTTTCAGCCCCCGCATTAATTTGCTTAGGATAGTGGCCTCCAGCTCCATCCATGTTGCTGTAAAGGACATGATTTCATTCTTTTTTATGGCTGTGTAGTATTCCATGGTGTATATGTGCCACATTTTCTTCATTTAGTCTGCCATTGATGGGCACCTAGGTTGAGCATGTCTTTGCTATTGTGAGCAGTACTGCAATGAACATTGCAGTGAGTGCATGTGTCTTTTTAGTAGAATGATTTGTTTCTTTTGGATACATACCCAATAATGTGACTGCTGGGCTGAATGGTAGTTCTATTTTAAGTCCTTTGAGAAATCTTTGTACTGCTTTCCACTGTGACGTTCCCACCGACAGTCTCACCAACATCTGTGGGGTTTTGTTTTTTTTCTTTCTTTGACTTTGTTATAATAGCTATTCTGATTGGTGTGATAGGGTATCTTATTGTGGTTTTGATTTTCGTTTCTCTGATGATTAGTGATGTGAAGTATTTTTTCATATGTTTGTTGGTTGCTTGCATGTCTTCTTTTGAGAAGTGTCTGTTCATGTCTTTTGCCCATTTTTTAACGGGCCCTACTAAATTATTTTGAAACAAATCCAAGATGTGTCATTTGTGAATATGTCAGTATATATCTTAAAAATATAATGTACCACTTTAAGAACATATCCAAAATACAATTCTCATAATTCCTTAATTTCATCAAATATCAAATTGGCCTTCAATTTTTCTCCATCATTTTATAAATGTTTCAATATAGTTGTTGTATTCAAATCAAGTCCAAAATGAAGTCTACACATTGCATATTGTTCAAACATCCTACTTTTGTAAGAAATGGTATTTGGAGACTATAAACTGGATTCTGGATTTCTCATCGCTATAGAGTTGGTCACTGCTTCTAGGACTTCTTGGGTTTACAGAACTAGAAAATACAAACGGTGTGTATGTGTGTGTTTGTGTGTGTATGTTTAAAACAGAAGCTACAGTGTAAGTTTAAGCAGATATTTCTAATTCAAAATTTAAATTACAGAACTTTTACTTGAACTCTTTAATTTTATATTTGCATCTCTTTTATGCTGAAAATCTTGGTTTCTAATTACATCATTATCTACTTGCTTTATTTTACTATATGTCTGTGTGTGTGAAATAGTCTTGGAATAATAATGTTAATGTTATTTCCAATGATATTTTTACTGACAATAGTTGATTTTTAGTTCTTTTGTCCTCAGAATGTATTTCACTTCATATGCACAGTTAAATTACTGTGTTTTAAAAGTCATTTGAAATTATCTCTGTTTGTGTGCCTCCAACTGGACACACAATTAGGTTCGCTTGTTTCACATTTCTTTTGGGGTTCAGGGATTGTTATTTTCATTTTTGAGTTAATTATGTTTTGTAATCATGGGAGTCAAATTTGCAGAAAAGGTACATTCCAGGCCAGGCACAGTGGCTCACGCCTGTAATCCCAGCACTTGGGGAGGCTGAGGCAGGTGGATCACCTGAGGTCAGCAGTTCGAGACCAACTTCACCAACATGGTGAAACCCCGCATCTCTACTAAAATACAAAAATAAGCTGGATGTTGTGGCGCACGCCTGTAATCCCAGCTACTCAGGAGGCTGAGGCAGGAAAATCGCTTGAACCCAGGAAGCAGAGGTTGCAGTAAGCCAAGATCACGCCATTGCTCTCCAGCCTGGGCAACAGAGTGAGACTCTGTCTCGAAAAAAAAAAAAAAAGGGTACTTTCCAAGAAGTCTAGCCTCTGTCCCTGTTCCCTTCACCTGTTCCTTCCCTCTCCCGATAGATAACTAGTTTTTCAAAAATTATCATTATTATCATTATATCATCTGCTAACAGATATAAATATAAATAACATATAATAAATATAAATAAAATATAAAAATATGAACGAAAAGAGTCCTTTGCCAAATGGCAAAGAAAGGTTTCTGCTTTTAAACAGTAATCACGAAATGCTTTTAAGTGAACAGCATTGCTATGTTTCTTTTAAGATCTTTCCTCTGAATAATTTCTGAGTGTTCAGAGTCATTTACAAAAAGAGATAGGATTTACCTATTTAATGGATAAGGAAATAGGAAAAGAGAAAGAAATTTTCACAAAAGCACAGAGCAAATTCAGCCAAGATTCCAACTAGCTACTTTGCAGGCACTGATCCATCCAACAGCTAGCATGGGCCAGCCCCAACCTGCAGATACTCTGATTCTCTACGTCTGAAGTGAGGCCCAAGCACCTGTTTTGGCAAAGCTTCCCAGGTGATTCTGAGCAGCAGTCTGGTGGACAAATCACTAGTATAAGCCAGTGACACCCAAGCAGGCCTCTTTTGGAGAATCTCAAGGCAGCTTGTTGTTGTGGGAGCAAATCTTGCATCCAAGACTGAGGACTGCAAGAAACATGACCATATTTTTCTTTACTACAATTTAATCTGTTCTGATCTCTCATTGCACCAGAAAACACATGCCAAATCTTGGCCAAAGTGATGACCCCCAACACCACTTCCCCACATACGCTTCTAAGTTCCCAGGAGCGTTGAGGGGTGGGGGTACAGGGAGATCTGATTCAGCCATCACCTCAGCCACCCTCATTGCTGGGTCTCACAGAAGGCTGCTAAGTCATGGCTCATTCTGGCCATGGGGTCATTCAGTTTCCGCAGCTCCCTGGCCAGCTCTGATGCCATATCCATAGCACTGAACTCATCCCACCAGGCTACACCCTCAGAGGCCCTGACTGTTTAGATTGGATTTACCATACAACCCTTTCTTTTTCTGGAGCTCCACCCAGGAAACGGGAAATGAGTCACCATGACTCTTAGATTCCACAAACTGACCTGAGGATTTTTGCCATATCCACCTGCTCTAACCTGGATTTGACCCAGGGAGCAAAGTGCAGGATCCTCTTCTCAATGAACCACTAACTTCTATACACTTGTTGCTTCTCCTTTCTACAGCCCAAGGAACCTTTATGTAGACTGGGCTAAGGTATCCTTGTTCTTAATTGGCCAATATCTCTCATTCTTTTTATTATATGTTATTTATATTTACATCTGTTAGTAGATGACATAATAATAATAATAATAATAATAATAATAATAACGCTACCAATAATCTATGCTACCAGTTCCTTTTGTTCCCCTTAAGGCCAGGATTTTGTATGCAAAATCTTGGAAGCATCACCCCTTTACCTTTGTTACCACATCCCTTACCAGGGCTACCATGTTGTGCAATTTCAGGAAGTATTGTGCACAAAGCCTGGGTGGACTTATTCAGTGCACAACCTGAACAGCTGTATGGGTATGCACAGCTGTATGTGCTGCAGAAATGTTGACCACATAGCCACACACTCTGAATGGGGAAAATAAATTCCACTGGGGAAATAACATTAGTTAGTGCTTCAAAAGCATTGTCCTGCCACTTAATAAAGCTCCAGATAGGGAGTCTGGAGGGTCATTTGGATGTTTGGAGCAAAATATTAAAAGTGAAAGTGACCTTCCTCTCCTCGTTTTTCTGTACCTCCTTGCCAATCTTATCACCTTGGTATACCAAAGAAGATCTCAGCCTGCCTCATCTGAGCCCCAAACAACCTGGGATCCAAGAGGATAAGCTGGAAATACCACAAATATGACCCATGAAAGCACTTAAGACCCCTGCCCAGAGAGAGGAAAGCACTGAGCGTTGCAATCATGGGGCACTTGGGCAAAGTCAGTTCTCATTGATGAGCTTCCAAACACCGGAATAATTCAAAAAGAGCCTCTTCAAAGATACCTGGTCTCTTGTCTGTCCCCAGTCCCCACGTTCTAAAAATCAGCCAGTTACCATGGCAGCTGCTGTCCAATCAAAACGTTCCCATTTATAGAAACTGGCTGAAAACATTTGAATCTGATGGGGTCTGTCGCTGAGCAGAGGATGTCACTCCCCCAGACACAAAGGATGCTTTATCCAGAAACCATGGATAGCGCCTGGCCTGAGAGAGAGAGACTCCAGGTCCTGCCACCAATGCACTATGAACAGGCATCCCACCCAGAAAACGTTCCTGCTGACACTGGTAGGGCCTATGTCATCATCATCCATTCATTCACTAGATAACATCAAGCACCTTCTCTGTGTCGAGCAAGGTACTGAGGTTAAATGGTGACGAATGCTGTGTTCCCGTGGTCACCAAGGCAATTTTGATGAGGAAGCTGATAAAAAAGCAGACAATGGCAACCCGGTGTGATTTAAATAATAATAATAATAATAATAATAAAATAAAAACCATGAGAGCAGATGTGTGGGAACTGTGGAGTCACCTGCCCAGGCATGGAGTCAAGGGTGTTTTCCTGGTGAAACCTGAGTCTTGAGGGCTGAGCAGGTGTTAGCTGGGATGGGGTGAGGAGTGCGTAGGAAGGAGGAAAGGGCCCCGGGCAAAGGCACGTATGAAAAAGCCCAGACAGGGAGAAGAGCATTCCATCCAAGTTACCTCAAGAGTAGCTCGGTTGGCCGGGCACAGTGGCTCATTCCTGTAATCCCAGCACTTTGGGAGGCCAAGGCAGGCGGATGACGAGGTCAGAAGTTCGAGACCAGCCTGACCAACATGGTAAAATCTCGTCTCCACTAAAATACAAAAATTAGCCAGGCATGGTGGCTCATGCCTGTAATCTCAGCTACTCAGGAGGCTGAGGCAGGAGAATCACTTGAACCCAGGAGACAGAGGTTGCAGTGAGCCAAGACTGCACCATTGCATTCCAGCCTGGGCGAGGGAGTGAGACTCCATCTCAAAGGAAGAAAAAAAAAAAAGAGTAGCTCAGTCACTGGCTCAGAATGAATGATGAAGGCAAAGACAAGAAGAATTGCAGCTCAAGAGGAACGCTGGGACAGAAAAAGGAAGGTCCCTCGCTTCTCTGCGGGCGTCTGGTTGCCTGGCTTCCATTTAAAGTGGAACAGCCCAGGAAGAGATTAGTTGAGAAGTAGCTAAGAGGAGGTTCTGTGTTTTGAGGGAGAAGGGGTAGTATCCTCAAGAAGAAAGGAACTAAGAGGGTAAGGGGTGGGGCACCGTGGCCACAGCCCCCCATTGCCTATTCAACCATGAGCTGGAGAAGCAATCAAACAGGACATCCCCCGCCCTCCCACCTCCTGTCTGCTCAGAGCATCTCTGCTGCCTAGATCTACAGGATCATGCCATGGCAACTTCCAGATCATTCCATCCAGCCCTTCTAGGGGATGAATAACAGTTTATTGCACATGAACCCAGGAGTGGCACTGTGCTCAGTACTTCCCATGCAAAATCCATTCATTTCTAAAATCATGTTTGAGAGTGAGCATAGTGGCTAACGCCTTTAATCCCAGCAATTTGGGAGGCTGAAGTGGGAAGGACTGCTTGAGCCCAGAAGTTTGAAGACAGCCTGGGCAACATGGTGAAACCCTGTGTCTACAAAAAATTAAAAATTAGCCAGGAGTAGTGGTGCCTGCCTGTGGTCCCAGCTACTCAGGAGGCTGAGGTGGGAGGATCACTTGAGCCTAGGAGGTTGAGGCTGCAGTGAGCCATGATTGCACCACTGCACTCCAGCCTGGGTGACAAAATGAGACCCTGTCTTGAAAAAAAACAAAAACTTAGGCCCAGGCACAGTGGCTTACAGTTGTAATCCCAGCGCTTTGGCAGGCCAAGGTGGGTGGATCACTTGAGGCCGGGAGTTCGAGACTCAAAACTGGCGAAACCCCATCTCTATTGGCCAGGCATGGTGGTGCTCGCCTATAATCCCAGCTACCGGGGAGACCGAGGCATGAGAATCGTTTGAACCCAGGACACGGAGGCTGCAGTGAGCTGAGATCATGCCACTACCCTCCAGCTTGGGCAACAGAGCAAGACCCTTTCTCAAAAAAAAAAAAAAAAGAAGAAGAAGAAGAGAAAGAAAAAAATCAGAGAATGATGGCTTTGTAGCCAGCTTAAAGAGTAACTAAACTTCTCCTTCAACAGGGGTCTCTAGATGGGGATGGAGGGGGGAGAACCCAACTACCAAATTGAACATTGTAGGAAATTATATTGATAGAGTCTTTGTGAGTGTGGAAAGTATTAGCAATAGGTACAGAGAAAACAAAGCAGATATTTAGTATTTAGTTGCTTCAGGGAAAAAAAAATTAAAGTCATGTTTGAGCACCTTCTATGCAACAGGCAATATAATTCAGATACTGCTGACATGGCCCTAGAAAAAAATAAACTCCTTGTCCTCAAGGAACTTATATTCTTGGGAAGGGGGGGATAGACAAAACCAAATAGATACGTAAGATGACAAGAGATTACAACTAGTCTAAGAAAAATAAAGCCCAGTAAAGTAATAGAGAATGATGGCAAGGGAAGAGGGTTAGAAAAGGGGTGATCTGAGCTGAGACCTGAGTGAGGGGAGGGAGAGAGCTACATGGAATCTGGAGGAAGAAGGTGTCACACTGTGGGAACAGCAAGTGCAAAGGTCCTGTGGCAGACAAGCCGCTGCCATGTTGCGTTGGTGAGGCTGGGGAGTAGGGACAAGGTGAGAGCTGGAGAACCAGGTCGGAGATGGGCCAGGCGGTCACATCAACCTCATAGCAACACGACAGGGTGGGGTACTGTTGTTCCCATATTACAGATGAAGAAACTGAGGTTCAGGAATATGCCCAGGGTCCCAAACCTTTGCTAGGCAGAGCTGGGATTCAAACCCAGCCACTTGATCTTTAATCATGTGCCTCTAATTATTTCCTTAGAGTGTCTGTGCCAAGGAGCTATGGATAACTTAGAACAGATCAATAAGATTCCAACCTCCCGCAAAGTTCCCCTAAATCCCAGCAACTCCACACCTAAAAATGTAAGAAGATCTTCAGGAACTTGAACAAAGATCTAGCTACTTTGTTTATAATAGCAAAATGACTGGAAACAACAGCTTCTCCTTAATAATAGGCAACTGGAAAATAAAGTTATAATACACACATGCAAAGGATGAATCATGTATGGTCATTTTAAAAGACATTGTAGAAGAGTGTGCAACGACATGGAAAGATGGTCAAAATATGTCATTGAAACTAAGCAATACATATAGTACAATCTCATTTTTTGTAATAAATAATATGTAAATGTATGCAGAGGCAAAAGACTGGAAAAAAATAAACGAAAATGTTAAAAACGGCTAACCCAAGGAGTGGGATTGTGGGTGGTACATCTTGGTTTTGCTTAGCAATATTTTCTACAATGAATATAAATTATTTTTGCCCAGCCTGGGCAACATGGCAAAACCCCCTCTCTACAAAAAATATGAAAAACTTAGCCAGGCATGGTGGCAAGCACCTGTAGTCCCAGCTACTTGGGAGGCTGAGGTAGGAGGATTGCTTGAGCCTGGGAGGTCAAGGCTGCAGTAAGCCATGATCACATCACTGCATTTCAGCCTGGATGACAGAGCAAGACCCTGTCTCAAAAAAAAATAAATAAATGATTTTTGCAAAGAAAAAATTTGCATGTGCACATGAACACACACACGTGCACACACACAGTTCACCAGAAAGCTTTCCAGGTTGGCCGGCCACTGGGCACAGGGGACCTGAGCTCCTCTACGCCCCCATCCTACGCTCCAACGTGTGCAGAAAATGAAGTTCTGCACATCACCATTAAAGTCCCATTCAGGTTGGAGACCCCTATAATGAGGCAGCTCCCTGGCCAGAGCTGGAAAATTTAGGACATACTGGTAGCCTCACCTCCCTTCTCAACAAAGACTTCACGATGCAAAGCTGGGGCTTGGGAGGGTGCAGGATCGCAGCAGAAGCTTCGGTGGCACATCAGCAGGAGTGCCAGAGCTTCAGGGTAATTAGCACTAGACTTGTCAAAGGGCCTGGTGCTATTTTTAAAATCTTTCCAACACATTTGGTTTCATAAAGGATTCCAGGAGTTCTCAGTCCACCCAGTGCTCTAGGAAGGCAAATGAACCAATTAATAATTTAGTGGAAATTACCCAGAGCTTTAGGGGAAGATGCGTTCACCCCCTCATATATTTGCTACCCTTCCTTCTAATTAAGCCAGTCAGAACTTTCTCACCTGCAGCATTGTTTCTTTCATCATTGGAGACACCTGGAGCCACTCACGGACCACAGCGTACTAAACCCCTGCTGCAGGTGGCATTTCAGCAGAGGAGCTTCCGAGCCAATCTGTGGCCCTGCTGCTCACCAGTGTGTGACCTTGGGTGGGCTATTTCACCTTTAGAGCACTAAGCTTCCAGGGGTGTTGTCTTCAGTCAAAGGTCAGCAATCTATGGCCCTCAGACTCAATCTGGCCCACCTCTTCTTTCTATAAATAAAGTTTTATTGGAACACAGCCATGCAGATTCATTTACATATGGCTGCTTTTGTGCTACAGAGTTGAGTAGTTGTGACAGAGAGTACATGGCCCACAAAGCCTAGAATATACATATACTATATGTGTGTGTGTGTGTGTATATATATATATATATATATATATATATATATATATATATATATGTAGAGAGTGAGAGAGGAGACAGAGAGAGAGAGAGATTTAGGGTCTCACGCTGTTGCCCAGGTGGAGTGCAGGGCATATTCATGACTCACTGCAGCCTTGACCTCCTGGGCTCAAGCAATCCTCCCACCTCAGCCTCCCAAGTAGCTGGGATTACAGGCATGTGCCACCACACCCAGCTAATTTTTGTATTTTTTAGTAGAGATGGTTTTGCCATGTTGCCCAGGCTGGTCTCGAACTCCTGGGCTCAAGCGATCTGCCCACCTTGGCCTCCCAAAGTCGTGGGATTATAGGTGTGAGCCACCGTGCCAGGTGTAGAATATCATCCGGCCCTTTAACAAAAAAGTTTGCCAACCCTGCCTTAGATCAGATCCCCAGAAGCAGAGCTTGAGATGAGGATTTGGGTATAAACGACTTACCAAGCAAGTGCGACCAGGAGACGCCAAGGAGAAAGCAAGGGAGGCAGGACAGTGAAAGAAAAGAGGCCACCAAAGGTGTGATATCAGGCAAAGTCCTGCCCCAGCCTGCTCCTGTGGGAGACCTTCTGGGTCCCGTGCAGGTGAAGTGACTCAGGCAGGCCCTGAAGAGGCAGCAGGTGTGAGCTGGGAGGAGCAAAAGCCACGGAAGCTCAGTGGGGAGGCCCAGAACGTGTAACCGGGATTGCAGGGGATCCGGGCAGAACTCTGATGGGCTGGCTTCAGCTGTTAATCACTCCTCCAATTTATGACGCTTTTACAGGGACAAGGTCTTGGGCCAACATACATTCCCTTGTTTACTCCTTGCCACAGCCTTAGGGGTGGGAAGTATCTGAGGCCCACTTTGCAGCTGGGAATGAAATGAGATCACCCAGACAAGTACTCAGCCCAGCACCAACCCCATAGAAAGCACTCACTAAGAGGAAGCTGGATGTGTCTGGAAGCTGGTTGTGTACTGAGTTTGGGGTCACAGGGGTCATTGGGGTATCTAGCATGTAACTAGCAGGAACTTCTAACAGAGCCCTCGTCAGTCATCCTATCGGGGAGGTCAGAGAAGGAGGCTCTGGGGAATCTTGAAGGAGGGGTGGGAGTTGCCAAGTTGGGGAAAGAGATTTTTCCAACACAGGTCACAGCAACACAAAAGCTAGGCGGTGGGAAACAATGGGCACATTCCGGCAGCCTCGAGGAGTTCCGCGGAGGTGGAGTGAAGACTGAGAGGGGTGGTAGGGGGAGATGAGGCCGGGAGGAGGAGAGTACACCCTCAGGGATGGAGAGCCAACAAAGATTCTAAACGAGGAGTTCTGCAGTGAGACTGGCATTTTGGAACAATCGTCCTGGTTTTGGTTGAGAGCACAACTTAGAGAACAGAGGCTAGAGGTGGCAGGCTGGAGTGACAGCCTACTGCAGCTGTCCAGCCAATTAAGCCCTGTAGGAAGAATGGCTGATGCCGCAGTCTATGTGATGCTGAACTGCGGTAGCCAGGCTGACCTGGCCCCAATCCCGGGCTGTGACTGACCTTCAGATGCAGGCAGCAGAGAGAAGAGGACAAAAGTGCACCGCTGGGGAAAGGCAAGCAGCTGGCACCCAGGGCACCAAAGACCCGCACAGTGAGCATCAAGGCCAGCAAGGGCACAAAGCCAGCTGTCACCTGTCCTCTGGGCCAAGCCAAGGGGGGCTGGCCTCCTGGCCACCTCCTTGGGGGAGCAGTACCCCCATTGTCATGACTTGTTCACAGATTCCCAGACCTCCCAGTGCTATCAAGGGAGGTTTGTACTAGAGGTTGATTTATTTGTTATTTTTTTAATTGTGCATTTTTATGGATTTAGGGATACAAGTGAAATTGTGTTAATGGAAATATTGCATAGTGGTAAAGTTTGCCTTTTTGTGTACTCATCACTCTATTTGCTTTTTTTCGATTTTTGATTCTTTTTTTTTAGAGACAGGGTCTCATTCTGTTGCCCAGGTTGGAGTGCAGTGGTGCAATCATAGCTCACTGCAGCCTCGAACCCCTGGGCTCAAGCGATCCTCTGCCTTAGCCTCCTGAGTGACTGCGACTATGGGTGTGCACCATCACGCCTAGTTCATTTAAAAAAATTTTTGTGTAAAGTTGGAGTCTTGCTATGTTGCCTAGGCTGGTCTTTAACTCCTGCCCTCAAGGGATGCTCTTGCCTCGGCCTTCCAAAGAGCTGAGATTACGGACACGAGCTCCCATGCCCAGCCCATAGAAGCTTAGAGTTCACATCAAGAAGGAAGGCACCTTTTCTAACCTGCCCTTAGAGGTTCTGGGAGTCAATAATGTGGCTTGCATACTACCCATTCCCAGATGGTTCATCCCCACAGAATCTACTTCTCTATTTCCTCTGGTCCTGGGCCCTGAAGCATCCAAGCTTCCACCCTTTATAATTACAAATCACTCTCCCTCTGTGTGTGTGTGTGTTGCACATGTGCATGCACACACGTACAATCAGATACATTCCACAGTTCCTCAAATGCCACCACTGAAAGATTTATTCCTATAGTCCAACCTCCTGGGACAAGGAGGGTGCAATACATGAAGTCACCAACACCTTAGTGCGAATTTATTAATCAGATACTTCCCTCTGCATCAGCCAGATGTTAAGAAAATACCAATGATTCGAAGAGAAAGCTTACTGAAAAGGTATGGAATTTTTGGCAGGGGTGGGGAGAGAGGGGACCGTAGGCAGGAGGGATGTGACTTTCCTTTCCACCCAATCTTGGTCAGCCCAATGCTCTTAGTCAGGAGTCAGCAAACTTCATCTGAAAATGGCCAGATAGTAAATGCTTTCAGCTTTGCAAGCCATAGAGTTTGTTGCAACCACTCAGCCTGCCATTGTAGCACAAAAGTGACCAGAAACAATAAGCAAAGGGATGAGGGCAGCTGTGTTCCAAAACAACTTTATTTATGGACACTGCAATTTGGATTTCATATAATGTTCACAAAGTATTATTCCTCTTTTGATTTTTTCCAGCCATTTACAAATGCAAAAGCCATTCTTAGCTTGCAGACCACACACACACATACACACACACACACACACACACACACGAGGTGGCTGGATCTGCCTGTGAGCCCTGACCCCTTTCCCATCTTGTTGAGATGCCCTCTCCCTAAGGACAAGCCGTCGGTCTTTCTTTGCTGGGTGCCATCCTTGCCTTCCCTTCTCCAGGCCTAGAGGGAAAAAAAGTGGCTCCTTGTTCTGTGTGCTTTGTCCACAATCCCTGGGGATCTGCTTTCAAGTGTGGAGGTGATGACAGGGTGACAAATGGCTGGCGTGCAGGTAAGCCACCGGCGGTGGGCTGCCGCAGAACAGTGGCCGTAGGGTTCACACCAGTTGACTGAGAAGTGAGCCCAGGTGGGCCCCATCTGCCTGCCACTCCCCAGCCCACATCCCATGCATCAGGCCTCATCAGGTCCATCTGCTACACTTCTGGGACACTCTTCAGGCACCTCTCACGAATCCAAAGACTATTTGTTGTCATTATTACCACCTGACTTTACACATATCATTCCCATTAATAAAAATACAATACTCACTTCTTACTGAGTACTTAGTCTGTGCCAGGCGAGAGCTAAGCTCTCTGGCTCGTATTCACTAAGTGGGCCAGGCTCCGTGTGAAGTGCTTTGCACGCAACCAGTGCGTTCAGGCACCTACGGCTTCAGTGCTATTATTAACTTCATTTCATGGATGAGAAAACGGAGGCCAGAGAAGCTCACAGCACCCAAGGTCACAGAGCTGGGCGGGTCTGTGTGTGACTCTAAAGCCAGGTTCTTTGTCACCGGGCACCCCCGCCTCTCCCTGTCTGACAGCCATTCTGCAAGACTGTATTAGGATTCCAGGTCTTTGGATGCAGAAATAGAAACTCCGAGAAGTCAAATTGTTAGTCCAAGTTCATACAGTGGATAAAGGGTGGTGTGAGAATGCTTTGTTGGCATGCCACTGATGTGAAGAGATGTAGGGGCACCTGCCTGTATGTGAAAATGCATGTTTCTGGAAGCTTCAGAAACTTGGGTTCTAAATGAAGGGTTAGGGCTTCAACAAGTGGTGAGAGACAAATTTTAGCCTGAGAGAATGTCTTGGGTCTGTTGGAAAAGTCTTGTGCAGTTGTGTTATCATAGAAGGGCTCTAAAGTATGTAAAGAGACATAGGAGAAGGCTGGGCAAGGAAGAAGTAGAGGTGCAGGTTCTGCTGAAGTCTGGCCCCAGCCGGATCCCATGGGAAGCTCTGGGGCATGAAGGGTACTGCAGGGTTTCCCCACCTCAAGGCAAGGCGCTCAGCCTCTATACCTCTTATACATCAGTAATTGGCTATGGATTGTCCCATGGTTGGGGTGGGAGGAGCACCTCTGTGCAAGGTGACAATTCTCCGGAGAATGGTCCAGGTCTGAGCCTTGGCACCCAACACCCACAGCAGCCGGGGAATGGTGCACGATTGTCAGAGGGGAGCTTGGCAGGTATCATTGGCATCTCCTGTGAGTGGGAGACCCAGGAGACCCAGGTGTCACTAACTGGCTCCGCAGTCCCTCGAAAATCACTATGCCTTTCTCCTTCCTACCCTCCACCTCTGTCTTCCTCTCTTCCCTCTTGATCTTCTACCTGGTGGGCTGAGCCGGGCCTAGGCTTCTGGCTCTCGTATCAGACCATCGGCAATGACGGCCAATCTGCAGACTCCAGGAAGCACCCCAGTTTGGCTTCTTCCGAGCTCGGCCTGCTCACCACTTGCCCCCTCCTGTGGCCTGCCTGTCAGGGGATTCCCACTGACGTGCTCGGGAAGGCAGCTCAGGGAGCAGCTATGAGGCAGGCAGCTCCTCCTGACCAGACGGTGCCGAGGCCCCCAGCAGGGCAAGCAGCTGCCCTCCGGACGGCAGCCCAAGTGGGCTTGCTGCCAGGCACTTGCTTAACAGGAGCTGAGCTGTCCCGGTGCGTGCAAGGGGTCATTTCTAGAGCTTCCAGAAGGGTCTCGACTCTATACACAGAAACATCCTTTTCCACTCCTGTGATCTTCATTCAGTCTTTCATTCATTCAACAATTATCTCGGCTGGGCACGGTGGCTCATGCCTGTAATCCCAGCACTTTGAGAGGCCAAGGCGGGCGGATCACAAGGTCAAGAGATCAAGACCATCCTGGCCAACATGGTGAAACCCCGTCCCTACTAAAAGTACAAAAAATTAGCTGGACGTGGTGGCACAAACCTGTAGTCCCAGCTACTTGGGAGGCTGAGGCAGGAGGATCACTTGAACCCAGGAGGCAGAGGTTGCAGTGAGCCAAGATCGCACCACTGCACTCCAGCCTGGCGACAACGCAAGACTCCATCTCAAAAAAACAAAACAAAACAAAAAACAAACAAAAACAAAACAAAACAATTATCCCTTGAGTGCATTTGGGCCATGAATGGTGCTGCAAGCTAAGAAGAAAAGTGATGAGCAAAATAGACAAGGTAGACAAGGTCCTACCTACCTCCATTCTAGCTGGGGAGACAAATAAGACTGGGCACAGTAGGGTCACAGATTCACTCCGTTAGACGTGCAAAGAAAATATCGTTCCTTTGTTTTACTGTAATTGATCTGATCTTCCTCAAGGGAAGGGCAGATGGGGTGAAGAAATATCTTAAACTTGCCCATTTATGGTTCTAGCCAACATGTCCATCTTAGAAGGAACTACTTTCTCTTTTAGTGAGACTCATGGATCTGAAACTTGAAGAGCAAAGCTACGGACACCTTCAACCTTGGAGCCATTGCCTCTGCCCTGAGTAGCTACTGGGCATGGGAGCAGTGGGAAATGGGCTTGGAGATAGCACCTGAGGACCCCCGAGGTAAAACCAGCCAAGTGTGTAAGGCTAGGCCAGGTGCAGTTTCAACACCCAGGGGTTCTCAAATTTACCTCTCTAGCCCAGACCTCTCCTCCAAACTCTGGCTCCATAAATCCCCCTGCCTGGTCTATGCATTCCCTTAGATGATGTTGTAGTCAGCTCAGACTTCTATAACAAATATACCATAGACTGGGTAGCTCAAACAACACAAACTTATTTCCCCCAGTTTTGGAGGCTGGGAAGTCCAATTTCAAGATGCCAGCAGATCCAGTGTCTGGTGAATATCCACTTCCTAGTTTGCAGATGTATCTTCATATATCTTCATGTATCTTCATATGGCAGAGGGCACAGAAAGAGATTCTGTGTCTCTTCCTTTTTTTTTTTTTTTTTTTTTTTTTGAGACGGGATCTAGCTCTGTCGCCAGGTTTGAGGGCAGTGGCATGATCTCAGCTCACTGCAACCTCCGCCTCCCAGCTTCAAGCGATTCACCTGCCTCAGCCTCCTGAGTAGCTGGGACTACAGGCGTGCGCCAACAAGCCCAGCTAATTTTTGTATTTTTAGTAGAGATGGGATTTCACCATGTTGGCCAGGCTGGTCTTGAACTCCTGATCTTGTGATCCGCCCACCTCGGCCTCCCAAAGTGCTGGGATTACAGGCGTGAGCCACCACGCCCTGCCTTTTCCTCTTTTTATAAGGGCATTAAGCCTATTCATGAGGGCTCCACCCTCATAATCTAATCATGCCCCAAAGACCCCACTCTGAATACCATCGTATCAGGGGTTAGGCTTTCAACATCTGAATTTTGAAGGGATACAAACATTTGTCCACAGTAGATTGATTCAAAGACAACTCAAACTCAACACATCCAACAAATGCAGGGTGTATCCTTCTCAAATCTAGTCCTCTGCCAGCATCGCCCATCTCAGTCAGTGTCTGCTTTTCTCCCAGGTGCCAATACCAACTGGGAATCGCCCTCTCCCTCACTGTCCATATCCAACTCATGGCCAAATCCTATTTTCTGCCTACAAAGTTCCTGATCACTTTGCTCCATGACCACTGCCCCTCTGGAGGCCCAGGTACGGCCGTGTTTCCCAGACAGTCTCAGGAGTCACCTGATAGGTTTCCCTGTGTCCACTTAGACTCCTCGCTAGTCACCCCCTACACAGGAGCCAGAGGGAGACCATAATCCTGGTTATGTTTGTTGCTGGCAGAAAACCCTTTGATAGCTCCCAGTGCTCTAGCGTCTGGCCCTGCCAACCTCTCCAGGGTCACCTCCACCATGCACCCACTCGTCCCACTGATCTCCCATCCCTCTGGCTTTCTTACAGCTCTGCCAGCACGGAGCCTTGGTGCATGGGGTTTAAATCCAGGAATGCTCACCTCCTCCCTCCTCCTGGTTAGTTCACTCTCAGGATGGCTTCCTACTCATGCTAGATACGGTCGCTCCCTGATATTCACTCTGTTTTCACTTATATGTGTGATTGTGTGGTTTGATCAATGTCTGTCTCCCTCACTGGACTTTAAACTCCTGAAAGGAGGAATCATTTCTGTTTTGCTAGTACAGTGCCTGGCACAAAGTAGCTGGCTAATCAATATTTTTTACACAGCATGAATGAATAAAATTTGTAATGAATTCATGAGTGAATGAAATGCAGCCCTTATCTTTGAACATCTCATTCTCACATTCCTGCTGCATTCTGGGGAATCCTGGAAGTGGGGCACTGTCCCTCTAGGGACATTTTTCCCATCCTTAGTAAAGGAGTCCAAATTCCTGGCCACCTGGAAGTCCTGTTCTGGCAGGAAATAGAGCAAATTTGTTTGCAAATCAAGCCCAGGGCTCCCTGCCAGGCCCCCAGGCAGAGCCAAGCCCGCCTCACACGGACGCCCTGTGGATTTGCACTCATGCACGCTACATTTCCTTGTGTCCTCCTTGCCTGCACCTTTCTCTTCGTCCTCCACCTCCTTTCCTTAGAAATCCCATCTCACTATATGGAGTGATATGATCAACTTCCAGCTCAGCTCAGAGAAGATGAAGGGACTCTTCCAGATTAGCCAAGCACATTGGTGGATCTGGAACCCAGTTATTCCGAGAGCCCACTCGACAAAAAAGAGAACAAAAACAGCCAACACCATCGACCCTGTGCCAATCACGGTGCTAGGTAATTTGCATAGATTATTTTATGGAATCATTACAACAATCCTTCTACACAGGTTTCATTAGGATTAGAGAGAACCTAGAATTCATTTACTAGATGAGGGCCAGTAAACTATGTCCCACAGGCCAAATTAGGTCCACCAAGTTCTTCTTCTTCTTCTTCTTCTTATTATTATTATTACTACTACTACTAAAAGAAGTATTATTGGAACAGAGTCATATTGCTCTGTTTACATATTATCTATAGCTGCTTTTGCACTATAATACCAGGGTTGAGTAGTTGAGACAGAGAACCTACGGCCCACGAAGCAGCCCCCCTCAAAAAAAATTCCTATTTAGCCCATTACAAAAAAAAAGTTTGCCAACTCCTGTTTTAGATGACACCCTTCCCCCAGACTCTCCCTTTTATATTTGAATTCGTTTGTCCGAATGTTTTTTTTTCACCCAATGTTAAAGCAAACATGTTCCGCAGCTTGTTTGAATTTTCTGTGTTGAGCACCCAACACTAGAGGTGTCAGTTACTTTCACCATGCCCATAGATGTCCCTAAGGGAAATAGGCCCCTCTCTGTGCTGCCCACTGCCCTCCTGAGACTTGTCCCCAGCCACAGCTGATTGGACTAAGAGATGGGTGTCCAACCCTAGGCGGCCTTGCAAGGCAGGACAGCAGCTGATGATCTGAATGGCTTCACATGAAAAGATAAGCTAGACCAACCAGATTTTTCTCTCGGGAGTCTGGAATATGGAAACAGAGGCAAGGCTGTCAGGGGAAATGGAAGGTAGAGGAGTCTTGGGGACAAGTTGTGGCTGGTGACTGTAAAGGGCAAGGTTGTAAGGATGCCTGCTGGGAGGGAGAGAAGAAAATAGAGGCACAGTGCACACAGAGACAATCTGTGAAGGAGTGGCCCTGTGCTCTAAGAGAAAGAGGGACAGAGAAATTTGGTTCCAAAAGGTTGCCTGTTTCCAGCTCCCATGAGGACAACTGTCCTCTTCATGGATTATCAGTCAGGTCTTTTAGGTTGCAAATGAAAGAAAACCTACCATAAATGGGCTTGAACACTAAAGGGTATATATTGACTCGTGCAACTGAGAAGTCCAAAGGTACTTCAGGCTCAGCTTGATCCAGCAGTTCAAATGATGTCACTTGTGACCTGACTTCTTGCAGTCTCTCTGCTCTGCCTTTTGCAACATTGGCTTCAACCTCAGTGTCTACTCTGTGCTCTCTCCCATTTCCCTCACTCCAGGCTCTGCACTCATGGTGTCAAGATAGCTGCAGTGATTCCAGACCTCACAGCTTCACACCAGACTGTCTGCAAATAGACAGGAGGTCCCAGTAGCTCCTTTGCATTCTGGGATATGATGTCTCATTGCCTATCCCTGAACCAGTTGCTTTGGCCAGGGTGGAGATGGGTTGCACTCATTTGGATTAAACTCACCATCACTTGCCTTCGGTTTTCTCCCCTGTAATAACATTTGAATGCTTATTTTGTTCCAGGCCTTGCATCACCCTTAACATGCATTACCTCTCTTAATGCTCACAAAGCCTGTGAGGCAGTTACTAGGATTATCCCCATTTTACCAATGAGGAAATACAAGCTCAGAGAGCGTAGACACCTTACCCAGGATTACAAAGCCAACACATAGTAGAACTGCCGATAAAAAGCAGATCCAGGAGCTGAAAGGGGCCTGTGGAATTCTGGAGCCTGAGCCCTCAGCCCCTGTGTCCCTGCTTGCGGAGGGAGGATCACCCAACAGCCCCCAGCTACTGCTATTTCACCTCCTGTTGCTATCCTGGTGACCCAAATCCTTTGCACAGAGGGAGCTGTCCATAGATCTCAAGTTTCAGACCGGGTTATTCACAAGTCCTGCTTCCACCTCTGGGTTCCTCTGGTTTCTCTATTTTCTCCACCACCTCAGTCCGTTTCCATGGAAACTGCTGGGCTCCTGCATCCCTTTCATCCTCCTTTCTGGGAAGCAAGGCCAGCTCTCCAGCACTCCGGTAGCCAGGCCTGACCATTATAAAAACCAAAGAAGCAATATCTGGAAGAAACACTTCTAGGCATAGGGAGGTACCAGGTCAGGCTTCGTATTTTTTCCTTTGAAGTGCTCCAAAATAACACCAGGTGCTCTAAGGAGCTCAGCCAATTACCGAAGCCCAGTGGATCCTGGCTGGAAAGTTGTTTGTCATCTGTCCTCTGACATCTCACCACTTCAGTCACCAAGCCTCCCTCCCTTCTTGAGGGAGTGATTCTAGGGTCCTGGGGCAGAGGGACAGTTGGGCAAGTCTCCCTGCCAATCCTTGGTGTCAGATCACAGCACTCAAATGAGCTGGTGGGCTGGGGATGCGAAAGTGAAGGTGGTCCCCAGTTTGCCCTTCTGGTGGAGGGAGGAACCAGCCATCAGAGAACTGGTGGGTAAACAGTGGGCTTGGCATTACTCCTTAACGCTGGGAGGGGCCCTGTGGCTCCAGTGGCCAGGGTCCGGGAAGAACTTTATACATAGTGCCCAGGAGCTTGGCACCTGGTCCACAAAGACTCCATATACCATGGAAACTGGAGGGGACAAAGTGTTCTTGGTACCCCACCCCTCCCAGGTCTTGGTTGGGTGTTAATCTCTCTGAGCCTTGATTTCCCTATCTTTGGAATGGGTCAAATTCTTGCATTGCACACCTGATAGGGGAGTTGTGAGGACCAAACAAAGCAAGACACATCAAAACCCTCTGTAAAGGCATTTAAAGGTATCCTCACGGTTATCGCCATCATTGTCGTCATCATCATCATTATCATTATTGTAATAAAACTCGAGGGGAAGTCCTGGAAGGGAAGCAGAACCCCAGACATCTGAAATTACTTACAAGAGCCTTAATTCACGGAAATGTGCTCATAAATGTTCCGTCTTTACCGTCACTGCTTTAAAATACGCTCATCGAACCTCTCTTTCCTATCTCTGAATGATTTCTTATCTGAGTCCATGTTTCTCCTCACACATTTGGTTATTGAAACTTGGACCAGTCCAGCTAAGACTCCAGTCTCTTCTCCAATGCAAAGCTCTTCTCCTTTCCCATTGCAAACTGGACAAGGAGCTTGGGTCTGGAGCTGAGCCTGGAGAGAAGGGATGGCTGGCTCTAAGACATCCCCTCCTGGTAGGGCAGAGGGAGCTGCAAGGAGAGATGAGGGGCGGGAGGTCTTCCTACCTCTCTGGTCGCTTGCAGGTTGTAAGAGCATCCCAGGCTTTGGCTCCCGCTGCTGGTCTCTGAGGAATTTGAGGGCCTGTGCATAGTGGAGTGAAGGTTTTTTGGAGCGGTCTTCAGCTCCGCTCTAGCTTCCTCAACACCGAGGATATCATAAACACCAGCAGGTATCTGGCTTCGGCCCCCTCTTTAAACTATATGCACCTTTCCCAGGAGCCATAGCAACCCCCAAGGGCTGCCGAGAACCATGGTGGCTCCCATCTTCCTTCTAGACGCAGGACAGGGCAGTCTAAGCTGCTTTCATAGGCCATCAGACAGCTCTGAGTCAGAAGCAAGCGCCAGTCCCAACTCCATATGTGGCCCAAACTCCAGAACACTGCTCACCCCAGCCCACTCTGGAGCCAGGTGACATCTCCAGTTCCTCCTTGCTGCTGAAATCCCCCACAACCTGAAGGGGATTTCTGGGGGTTCCTCCAACAAAACTTGACTTCAGGACAGCCACAAATGCTGCACTCCCAGAAGGCCAATGCTCCTCTCTCCCGCACCCAGACATCTCCCCTGATAATCCCTGGCCTTGGTGGGTGGTGGCGGGCAGGCTGAGCAAGCCAGGAAGACACGAGGCATCTGATTGCTGTGATTCCAGATGTGGCCTAACTGCCACTATTTCAGAACAACAAGAAAAATCCCTCCTCACATCCTTGCATTGGTAAGAATACCTGCCTATTAATTAAGCACTTACGGCTGCTGGGGTTCTTGCTAGCTAACCCCTTGATTACATTCTTTTTGGTGCTTCCACTGACTTTGTGAAACTAATTACCTTGAGTTTTAGAAAGGTTCAAAGAGGTTAAATAGCTTTGCCCAAGGCCTCACAACCAGCAAGAGGGTTTTGAGCCCATATCTATCTGACTCCAGGGCAGGAACTTGTAACTGCTCAATGTGGCTGTTTCTGCAGGACTCAACTTGGAGATAAACCACAAACGCACCAGCTTGGGCTCCTCAGTCCTCCAGGAATGGGCCTCCCAGAAACAGACCAACTGTGCATCTGAAATGAACGAGGCAAGACTGTCCCAGTAGACAGTTTAAAGGTCACTGTGGCCACCCTACTGTCATACCCAGAACCATGTCCCCCTGATCTCAACAGCTCTGGAAAGCAGGAAGTAGGAGCTTCACTCTTTACTCCTCACCAGGAAAACCAAAGTAGCATGGAGACACTGGCTTTGCTTCTTGGAGAAGCAGGGATGAGCTCTCTCACCCAACACAGATTTGGGACAGGGGCCTGAATGACAGGTGTCAGAGCCCACAGGGCTGAGCCTGGCCCCGTGGGGGGCTGTGCAGCGCAGTGGTTAAGAACTTGTGTTCTGGAGACAGTATCTGTCTTAGCCTTTCCCGTTGGCCTCCCGTTGGGGTCAGCCCCTCCAGGATCCATTCATTAGCTACCCCAGGGGAGGTGATGCTGACTGAGAAATTTCTTGCCAAGCCAACCACTGATCACTGGCTCCATGAAGGGCGGCAGGAGCCCTAACTCATTTAATCCTCAGAACAATTATATTATTATTATTATTACTATTATTAGAGACAGAGTCTCGCTCTGTCGCCCAGGCTGGGGTGCAGTGGCGCGATCTTGGCTCACTGCAACCTTTCCGCCTCCCGGGTTCAAGCGATTCTCCTGCCTCAGCCTCCCAAGTAGCTGGGATTACAAGCATGCACCGCCACGCCTGGCTAATTTTTTTTTTTTTTTTTTTTTTTTTTTTTTTTTTTTTTTTTAGTAGAGACTGGGTTTCACCATGTTGGCCAGGATGATCTCAATCTCTTAACCTCGTGATCTGCCCACCTCGGCCTCCCAAAGTGCTAGGATTACAGGCATGAGCCACGGCACCCAGCCAACAATTCTAAAAGGCGTATGCCCACATGCCCATTTTGCAGAAGAGAAAAACTGAGGCAGAGACAGGTTATATAATTTGCTCAAGGTCACACAGCTTATTCTGGGATTCACACCCAAGCAGCCTGATTCTTGAGTGCCTACTCTTAACCACTGAGTCATCCTGCCTCCCTAGGGGCTTTGGTGAATCTCTCAGCAAGGTGGATGGGTACCTCTAAAGCTAGCTTTTGATGACTTCTCCCCCCAGTCTGTTCCTGCAAGTAACTCTAAACACATTCACCCTAGGCAAAGAACAAGTGGTTTTGGAACCTGCATTCTCTATTGCCCCTTTGAGACTCGCTCTGGGCTTGGCCCTCTCTCCAAGGGACAACCCTCTCTCTGTCTCCTCCTGGGTTCCCCTCTCCCCCAGCGACCTCCTTTTCATTCTCACTTACCTCCTTGCCTTTCACTCTCCTCTTGGAAGGTGGTTCAGCTAACACTCATTAGCACATGTTAAAGATCGCCAATTCATGTCTCAGTCACTCCGTAGCAGGAGAGGGGAGAAAGGAGGGATGATGCTGTCACTCTGTGGGTAAGGTGTCTTACCTTACCACACCACAAGGCCAGGACAGACCCCTAAGGGCTCAGACCGCAGGAGAGAATGGGGAGAGGGCCCAGCTCCCTGCTGGGGAGTCCTGTCTGCTGCCCTCAGGATGTGCGCTCAGTAGCTGCGTCTATTTTCTCTGAGACCAGCTCAGAACATCCCCAAGACAGAGTTGGACGTTGTTCTCTGTCCACTGGAGCAGGCACATTCCCACGATGTCCCTAGGTGGGCGTGGTTAAGACCTGGTACGGGTTGATCTAGTTCTGCCACCCCCTGGCCAAATGTCTAAAAGCCCCCCAGAGCATGGCCAGCGTGAGGCAGGTACCAGGGGTGGAGGGAGGCTCCGAGGGGACGGATATACGAAGACCCAAACAGACAGTGGAAGCCCCCCACCCCCACCCCACACCACTTCCATCGGAATCCTCCCGGGGCACTGCTGATTCCAGCTGCTCCCCACTAAAGCCTTGAGAACTCTTGGCTGCTCTGAAAGACTGAGCCCCATGAAGGAGCCACGTGCGGCGTGGAAAGAGTGCTGAGTTCAAATTGTAGCCCTGCCACTAATTTGCTGGGCCAGTCACTTAATCATCTGAAGTCACAAGTACCTCATCAGAAAAGTGGTCCCAGCTCTTCCTGCTGTGGAAGGATCAGAAGAGAGGAGGCACGACAGAGACCTAGTGAACTCCGAAGCCCGAGTGCTAAATATTTGTCAAGTTTGTGTTAGTATTACTATTAGTGTTGTTACTGCTGTTATTATTATTGCTACTGCCAGCAATAATAAGTGGTGGATGTACTCAAGACGGTCGGGAGGGAAGGCAAGGGCAGCCTCTCCCTCATTTTCACCGAAAATCCTCCGGGTGTCCCTGGCCCCGCGCCGAGGGGTCTCAGCGCAGAGGTAAGGGCCCTCTAGGAGTCCGGGCCGAGCCTCTCGCGCCGCCGCCCCCGCCGCGCCGCGCCCCGGTCGGATTCCCTGAGCGCGCGCGCCCCCTTCTGGCGGCCGGGCGCAGGCGCAGGCTCCAGAGCGTATATAAGGGCAGCGTGGCGCACAACCCCAGCGCGAGTGCCAGAGCCCAGCCGGCGCGGAGCGGGAGCGGTGCAGGCTGAGGTCTCCGAGCGGCTCGCCATGGCTGGCCCGCAGCAGCAGCCCCCTTACCTGCACCTGGCCGAGCTGACGGCGTCCCAGTTCCTGGAAATATGGAAGCACTTTGACGCAGACGGTCAGTAAAGCTCCCAACTTCTGTGCCCATTGGCACCCAGGGGACCTGCGGTGAAGGGGGCAGGGGGCGGCGCTGAATGCGGGCAGGTGTACGTTTGCCCTCAGGAGGTGGTCTGGTCGCAGAGCCTGCTGGGGTAGTGGTCCCGGGTTTGGGAGACATCCGGCTGCTCTGGGCACAACTGTCAGTAACTTTCTTCCCTAACATAGATGACCCAGAGCCCACCCGCATTTGCACCTTTATTCTGAGCAAGTGGGAGCTTTCTCAGAGAGGTGGCCTGGGCTGGGAAGGCCTCCAGGTTCCCCCTGCCATCTCCCCCACCTCCCCTGCCTTCAGCTGCTCCAGCCACAGGTCTCAGAAGACCACTCATTTCTTTCCTCCTCTTCCCCTTTTGTTGAATGCTAGGTTAGCCCCCTTACCCTGCTGGAGGCTGGGATAAATTAGGGGATCCTGAAGGGAAACGTGGCCTCCCCAGCTTGATTGGCTGGGAGCAGGAGTGGAAAATGGCATTGGGGGCCCTGAACACCCCCCTGCTTCCTTTGTCCATTTTCCAGCCGCCGTGGGCATGTAGGTTTCCCAATACAGCAGCAGTGGGTGTGGTGGCGGGCAGCGTTGGGGTGCCAGTCCCAGACCTGTTCCCTCATAGTGATAATCCTGGGTACTCTTGGTGACTTCATCTCTGGGTAGGGGGAGGCACCACCCTAAGTGCCTCAGTGACTAACCCTCTGCTCTGTGTGGTCTTGACACTGACTCACCCAAAAAGCAAGGGCCAGACCAAATGACCTTTGGAGGTAGCCCCCAGCACTGGGATTCCAAGTGTCTGTGGTGGTCTGACTCAGGCATAAAGGGTGGTCCTCCTTTAGAGGCTTTTGATATCACTAGAGACTCTGTTTCTGTTACTCCGAAAAAATAAGTGATCTGATTTCCCTCTCTACGCACAGACCTGGCTAAGATGAGCATCCAAAATATCCTGGCATCTCAGACATTTTGTGGTGTCTGTAGCTACCCTCCCCTCGGGTAGCTAATGGCTCCTGGAGGGGCTGACCCCAAAGGGAGGCCAACGGGAAAGGCTAAGACAGATGCTGTCTCCAGAAGACAAGTTCTTAACCACTGCACTGCACAGCCCCCCAGGGGGCCAGGCTCAGCCTTGTGGGCTCTGACACCTGTCATTCAGGCCCCTGTCCCAGATCTGTGTGGGATGACAGGGAGTTTATCCTGGGGTCTGAGAGCAAGGGGGATGGAAAACAGAGGGGCATCAGGTGTGCCTCACTCCATTCTTCCCTCCTCCCTTCCTCGCCTTGGCAGGGTGTGGAGGTGGCTGGGCAGAGATCCTCTGCCCAGAGTGCTATGGGGAGGCAGGGGTTAATGTCTGGGGATGCTAATGGGTGAAATTTTGTTTCCTTGGAGCCAACTGAGAAAGCTAGAGGGGTAGGGGACTAGGCATTTGAATACCTGAGTTAGGACTGTGATCTGCCTATGAATTACTGATGGAAGTGGGTAGATTGTTAAATCTGTAAAATGGGGCTAAGGAGGGATTGTGTTTCCAATCCCCAGCTCCTGCCATAAAATTCCCTTGGTACAAAGTGCTCTCCTAAGAGAAGTGCAGCCTTTTAGTATTCCAGATGACATGCACATTCCCTAAGGAGGCTCCTGCCAGTTTATCTGCACCAGACTTGCATGATTCAAGGAAAGTTACCAAGCAGCCAAGGTTACACCACTGGCTTCCTGGTAGATGAGTCAGCTATAAACAGAGGACTCTATAGTTCTACTTTCCCCCATTCTCAGAGGGACAAGCAAGAGCACTGTCCATAACCACGCAGATCCTTACGTTGATCTGAGACATTGTACTTAAGCACAATTGCACCTTCTCAAGGTGTGAGGCTGCTGGGCAGACCATGACTCCCCTTATACAGATGAGGAAACAGACACAGGGGTTGACTTTTCCGAGGTCATGGAGCAAGTTACTGGTGGGGCTGGTTCCTGGCCAGCGTTTATTCTCCCACTCTGGTTCCTGAACACCTGCTTGGTTTGGAAGAGGGTTTTTTTCCATGATGATAGGTATAAGTCTCCCTCCCATTCCCCCAAAGAAAAGCCCCCAGCCCACCCTTGGGGTTGATGGGCAGTTTCGTGTATCCCAAAATGGGGTCCTTGGCTTGGCTAGAGTGTAGTTAAGCTACCACCAAACCCATGATCTTCAAAGCCTCCTAAAGCCATTGTGCCTCTGGCTCCCTCCTGCTCCGGGGTGAAGGGGGAGCTTGATGCTTGCACCTTCTTCCTTGTCCATCAGACTTCCACTGCCATCTCTACATCACAGCCTCAGGGAAGTCCCAAGGAAAGGCCATGGACCCGACAGAGAAGGAGGGCCATGAGGATTAAAATACCAGAGATGAGAGAGAGGTGACTTAGGAAGATATGTATACAGCCAAATCGGAATTCCACAAAAGGATCCAGAATTAGGCTTTGGGCGACCTTCCTCCCCTCCTGAACACCCAAAGGCTGCCAGGTGAGCCCAACACCGCAGTGCCTGAGGCACTCCCAGCCCTGTTTAGGCCTCTCTCCTACCAATTCTGGTTTCCGTTTTCAACATGGGGTTTCTTCCCAATTCTAAGAGTACCCCCTACCACTCACAATCTTAAAAACACCTGAGAGAACTCTCCCTTGCAGCTCTCCAGGTCCCTGGAGTGGGCTCGCTGGAGCCCAATTAACCACAGCCCCCAGAGAGTTGGAGCCACCTCCCCACCCCTTCTGGATGCTGGCTGGTAGTAAACAAAGACAAAGAGACCTTAGGAGGCAGCTGAATCCCAACGAGAGGGAGGATGGGGGCAGGAGGACCCTTAGCCCATTCCAAAACAGAAAAAGCCACCATCACCCTAAAGAGTTGGATTATTTTCAAAATTCTTATTAGCTTTGTGGTAGAGAAAGGAAGAAGTGTATGTTTGGAGAGTGAGAAACTAGGACTCAAAGAGGCAAAATTCTTTTCACAAGATCACACAGCAAAGCAGGAAGAGGTGAAGGGGAAACCAGGAATCTGGTCTCCTAGTCCGCAATACCACTCCACCAACTCTGCCTCAGCAGTCAGCCAAGAGCATGCGTTTGGGAGGGTTCCAACGTTGTCTCTCAAAGGCTGAGGTAGGGAAGATGACAGCCAAGCCCACCCAGTGACCCTGGTGGGGTCTAGGGCTCTTCCGAACATCACCTCCATGCTCCGAGTGGCCCTGACGTGGCCTTACGTATCTGAGCCCATTGCTCTGTTGCTTCCTGGACACTTCTGTATCAGGACCTTTCCCCCTCTAAAGGATCCAGGTGGCTGAGGGATGCCCAGTTCAGAGTTCACACTGTCCTTTATTTGTGGTTCTGATTAGACAGGCCACCGGGCTCCTATTTTGCTGACCATCTGCGAGCAGCAAAGTTGTGGCTCCAAAGAGAAATGCCTTAGCTTTTGCTACCCCTTTGAAAGCAACTAAGAATGTAAAGATAAGATGAGTTCTCTTCCAGGGGCAAGCAGACATTCATGGGGCCAAGGTGAACATCCTACTCCCTTCCAAGAATCTAGCCTACATAGATATACTCGTATGTGCGCAGAAAGTTATATGAACAAACATGTCTATTACAGTGTTCTTCGGAAATACTAACAATTTCAGTGGGTGGAGGGGAGAATGTGCTTCACTGGGGGACAGAAAAATAAATATGGTCATCCCTATGATGGAGTATGATAGAGCGAAGTGAAGCTTTTGTAGTGACATGGAAAAATGTCCAAGATGTATTATTAAGATATTGTTTAAAACTGTAGCTGAACACTATTATAAGCCCGTTTTTATTATGAATGATATATGTATGTTGCAGGATATTTAGAAAAATACAACTGAATAATAGCGGCTCTCTCTGAAGAGTGGATGAGCCAAATGAAAGGGGATTTTCTTTTACTTTCTAAGTTAATTTCCATAGCACTTGAAAATTTTACAAGAGCATCTATTTCCTGTGTAGTCAGCAAAACAATAAAGATATAAGAAGGGAGGCCAGGCACAGTGGCTCAGGCCTATAATCCCAGCACCTTGGGAGGCCAAGGCAGGAAGATCACTTGAAGCCAGGAGTTCGAGACCAGCTTGGGCAATACGGTGAGACCCCCCCTCCCCCCACTACAAATTTAAAAATTAAGCAGGTGTGGTGGCGCACGCCTGTAGTCCCAGCTACTTGAGAGGCTGAGGCAGGAAGATGGCTTGAGCCCAGGTAGTCCAAGCCTGCAGTGAGCTATGATTGCACCACTGCACTCCAGCCTGGGCAACAGAGCCAGACCCTATCTTTAAAAAAATAACTAACTAAATAAATAAAGATATAAGAAGAAAACAATGTGATAGACACCTTTTCTTCCCTTGTAAGAAATATGTATATGTCTCCAGGTGGGGGGATCTGCCTATACTCTTCTGGGCTTCTGTCCACCTCCAAGTGGCCCAGGTGACGTAGGGGGTGCTCAAAGCCTCTCACAGGGACTGAGTCCTGTTCCTTATCTATGTGGACCCTGAGGATTTTGAAAATAACAACAGAGGCCACAAAGGGCTGAGGATGGCTCTACGCAGGCTCCCATCCTCGCCCTCTGAAACCCAGTGACCTGGCAGAAGTCTTCTCCAAGCCCACACAACACTGAGGACCACTCAGGGCCAGACTGCAGTGCCCAGGCAGGCTCTTCCAGGGCACGGGTCACTGCTCATTTGTTTGTCCCTGGTTTAGGGAATGGGGAGGAAATTTAGAACAGCAGCACCTCTCAGAGATGAACGGGAACCTGGGCAACTGGCCCTGGGCGGCTGCATGAGAGGTCCTGCAATACCAAAGTGAAACACATGCTGAAATAGGGTCACAAAATATGTGATGTATATTAAGTGTTTATATAAATGACACAACAGTTACAATGCTATAAGGTAATCATAGGATTTATCAAAACGATTGGGTCTTGGCCCATTAAAATCAACAGGGTCCGACACTGGGAACCAAGATTAAAGTTGTCAGAGGAGCGCTTTCTCTGAACCCTGTTAGTGAACCTCTGGGGGTCTGTATACCTCTCAGCTGGGCGTGGCGTGATGTCAGGATATGAGGCTCTCAGGGAACAGCCGCCTGACCCATCTGGGGTAGGCCCTGGAAAATGTCCCCCACCCCTGCCTCTGCTCCCTCCCCCAACTCCTCAGTTTTTTCACTAACAGCGTCCTTGGGTTGTGGAGTGTCCACGTGCAGCAGCTCTACGCTGGGTACCTCCAGGTGGGCTCTTGCCTGCTATGGCTCTGCTTCTCAGACTCTGATTGCACCAGCCGGCAGCGGGGAGCAGCTGGTCTGTGAAGAGCTGGGGCTCCCCGGGGGAGCCCGCCTAAGGGACCCGTTTCACAAACAAGATGCCAGCCCTGCATTGCCTTGATATTGACAGCCAGGCCGGCTGTCCCTGCCCTGCTCAGCTTGTATATTCCCCTCCAGACTTCAGCAGCTTTACCAGCCAAGCCCCTGAGGGAGGTTTCCAGGGCTAAGGAGACCCCTCAGGGAAATCAATTCCAAAACCAAAGGAGCTAGAATTAATAGAGCAGGCCTGAGGCTCTTCAAGAACAGTGCCTCTCCAGCCCCAGCCTGCCGGCGGATTGCATCCCAGGCCCTCCTTTGCCAAGCCGGCCCATCTGGGGCCTCTGGCTTCAGCCCTCCCTCTGTCCTTGTTGGCTCTTCACTATCTCCCCTCTCACCCAATCTGCCCTATCCTTCTGGCCTCCCTCATGCCTGGGACTCAGCCCAGCATTAGGCTGCCAGATGTCCACAGGTTCAGGGGACCCAGCCCAGCTCCAGAACCACGGGTCCAAAGCAGCACAGCCCAGAAACATAGATTGAAATTCAAGTGCCCAAACATTCAGCTGGTGGCTGGTAGCTCTTCACTCTGGGGCTTATTCTTTTTTCCAGAAGCCACTGGAAGAAGCGTGTGTGTGTGTGTCAGAGAGAGAAGCCAGGACAAATGCAGATATGGACAGACATTGTCCCTGGGACAAATAGAAGGAGGCCAGGACCTCTGTCAGCTGTGGCTGAATCTCCTTCCCCCTCCGATTCCTCCTTTCTAAGATGGGGTTGATAACTGCTTACCTGGCAGGGTCGTAAAGAACAGATGAGGTGGGAAGTGGAAAGCTTTTTGGGAATGGTGCGCACCAAGCAAAGCAGGATTAATACTGGGGCAGAGCCTGGGGAAGCCAATTTCTTACCCCAAAGGGTAGGATTTGACTGTCCCAGAGGGTGCTCCAGATGGAGGTTAGAGGACTGTTTGCCTTCGATAAATCTGAACTCCAGATAGACCGACAAGCGGCCTGGCCTCCTGGATGCCTTCTGGTGCAGCTTAACGAGGAAATTCCTTAACGAGGAAATTCTGGTGCAGCTCAAGGAGGAAGGTGCGAACCTTCCCTCCTTTGACCTCTCTAATCTATGGACTGCGAGTGCTACACAGACTGGTGCACTAGAAGCGACTGGACGCAACATCTTGAGTGTGCTGAAGGGCTGCTTAGAACACAGGCTTCTGCACCCCATCCCCAGAGACTCAGATTCTGTAGTCCTTAGAATTTGCATTTCTAAGAAGCCCCCAAGTGACACTCATATGTCTGGCCTAGACCAAAATTTGAAAACCACTGAGCAAATGCGTCTCAGATTTTAGCACACTGATGAATCACCAAGACAGTGTGATCCATAGATTGTTGGGCACCACCCCCCAGAGAAAGATTCAGTAGGTCCAAGGTGGGCCTGGGATTCTGCATTCCTAACAAGCACCCAGGTAGTTCCAATGCTACTGGTCCACAGACTGCACTTTGAACAGCACGGCGTTATGCTCCAATCCTACTGAATTAGGATCTCCACTTTAATAAGTGGAGATTATTACGGTACTTTTTATGTACCCTAAAGTTTGAGACATGCTGCTCTGAAGCGGTTCCAAGCCTTTACTGTTCTGAGCTTTAGAATCACCTGCAGAGCTTTGAAAACACCCCCTTCCCCCCATCCATTAAATCAGAAATTCTGGGGATGGGGCCAAGGCAACAATGTTGTTTTCAGATATTCCCAGGTGATCCTAATACACAGCCTCAACTGAGAACCAGTATTCTTTTTTCTTTCTTTCTTTGTTTTCTTCCCTCTCTCTCTTTTTTTTTTTTTTTTTTTTTTTTTTTTTTTTTTTTTTTTTTTGAGATGGAGTCTCACTCTGTCACCCAGGCTGGAGTGCAGTGGCAGGATCTTGGCTCACTGCAAGCTCCACCTCCCAGGTTCACGCCATTCTCCTGCCTCAGCCTCCCAAGTAGATGGGACTACGTGTGCCCGCTACCACGCCCGGCTAATTTTTTGTATTTTTAGTAGAGACGGGATTTCACCATGTTAGCCAGGATGGTCTCAATCTCCTGATCTGTGATCCACCCACCTCAGCCTCCCAAAGTGCTGGGATTACAGGCGTGAGCCACAGTGCCTGGCCTTTTTTTTTTTTTTTTTTTTTGAGAGAGAGAGTCTCGCCTTGTCACCCAGGCTGGAGTACAGTGGCACAATCTCACCTCACTGCAACCTCCGCCTCCTGGGTTCAAGCAATTCTCGTGCCTCAGCCTCCCAAGTAGCTGGGACTACAGGCACACACCACCACACCCAGCTGATTTTTGTATTTTTAGTAGAGATGGGGTTTCACCATGTTGGCCAGGCTGGTCTTGAACTCCTGGCCTCAAGCAGTCCACCTACCTCAGCCTCCCAAAGTGCTGGGATTACAGGCGTGAGCCACCACACCTGGCTTGAGAACCAGTATTCTAAGGAAAGCAGTGGTGCTGGAACTCTTCAGGCTAACGGGTTTTCATCTATAAATTGATTTAGAGGAACTTAAGAGGAGGGAGTATAAATGGAAGGCAATATTTGTTCCTTCCATTTATGTGAGATTTTACATCTTTCAGAATGCTTCCACAACATTACCTTGTACAGCTCTCACCATAACTCTGTAAAGTAGAGAGGGCATAAATAGTTATTCCCATTTTAGAGATAAAGAAACTGAGGCTCAGAGAGATTGACTTGCCCAACATCACATGGACAGTCATAGAGCAGGCGGTAGAATTATTAATATTATACCTCTTACTCAGGTACCTCTTACCTGTTCAACTCCTAGAAAATCTGAATGTACAAGGCTCAGGGAGAACAAGGTCTCCCTGAGGTCTCTTTTCACTGAGGGGTGAAGCCTCCTCTAGGCATGGCTTCCCAAGTGTCCGTGGTCAGATGAAAGGTAAAGAAGTATTGTCTCACTTTAAATTGGGGGAAACTGAGGCACGGTAGTGGTGCGGAATGGTAGCAAGAGTAGAATAAGGAAGGATGCAGGGTCTCTGGCTCTCACTTCGGCTCTGCTCCCTCATGTTCACAGGATGTGGTTTGATAAGAAGTTAGAAGTGATGGTTGCCATGGTAACCACGTCTTTATCGATGTCTTTATCGATGCCCATCCGCATGAGCCTTGCTTGGTGACCAGTCACCCCACCCGCTGCAAGAGGGTCATAGAAACATCAGACCATTCACTCAGTGCCGATGTCATCCTAGAAGGGTGTGCACCAGCCCCTCCTCTACCCCAGCCTCTAGTGATAAGGGCTTCCTGCAGATGGATGGGGAGTTGCTTTGAGGGAAGCCAGAGCAGCGAAGGCCATTTGCCATCCACAATCGAGGGCTGGGTGTGGAGTGTCCCTTCTGGGCCCTGCAGCGCCACCTGCCGATCTCTCCTGTGTTCCTCACTGTCTGCCATCAGCTGCCTGTCTGCCTGCCTCTCCCAGGCTGACCATTGATGCTCTTGGGAAATGGGCCCACATCTAAAACTTGGTGATAGCTCCCTGAGCACCAGGCACAAAGTGGAACAGTGGCTCAGTTCAAAACATCAAGGCTTACTGCATTGAACCACATTTCTGCCTTTTGTTGAGGTGCCCAGAGGGAGGTAGTGGAATTCCTAGTGTGGGGAGGGGGGTTCCTCCTGCCCCGGGAACCTCCTGCTGCCTGTGCTGCACAAGCTGAATTCAGAGAGGCGGCTTCTCTCCACAGGGCTGCCCTTCTAGCTCCTGGACCCCTTTCCCTGCCTCCAGTTTTCCTCCTTCCTTTCTCTGCCCCCTTCCCAGAGGCTGAGGCTTCTTGGGAGGTCTTCCCTGCTCATCCTTTCCAAGAAGCCCTGGAAGTCGATCTCTACTCTATGACACCATCATTCTTTCATTGCTCTCGACACTGGAAACACCATGTTTAAATTCATTTCCTTGCTTATTATCTGTCCCCTGCCCCACCCACACCCCATTACAGCATAAGCCCCACCATGGCAGGACCTAGCTGGCCTTTGCACCTCCAGTGCCTGCACAATGCAGATGCTCAATAAAGGTTCCTCCAATGGTCCAGGCACGGTGGCTCACGCCTGTAATCCCAGCACTTTGGGAGGCCAAGACAGGTGGAGGATTTAAAGACCAGCCTGGGCAACATGGCAAAACCCTGTCTCTACCAAAAACAAACAAACAAAAAATTATTCAGGCATGTGCCCGTCGTCCAAGCTACTTGGGAGGCTGAGGTGGGAGGACGGCTTGAACCCAGGACATTAGGCTGCACTGAGCCGTGATCCAGCCACTGCACTCCAACCTGAGTGACAGAGCAGACCCTGTCTAAAAATAAAATAAAATAAAAATAAAAAAATTCCTCAAATGAATGAATGAGTGAATTAAGCCTGGATCAGGAATTAGGACACTTCCGTTCTGGTCCTCCCTGGCTGTGTGGTCCTGAGCAAGTTGCTTGCCTTCTGTGTCCTGTGCCTCAGTGTCTTCTGTCACCAGAAAAGGATTCTACTCTGCCATGCCCGTGTGTCTGGAAAGATTATGTGTGGGTTCATTTCCCCCACAGCAACCCACACAGGTCTTACCCATAGTGAGGGCTCAAATTATCTGCTGGAGCAAAGAAAGACGGCAAAAGCGCTTTGAAAAGTTAAAGACATTCCACTGACCTTCAGCACTTTCCTGCTGGGCGAGGCACTGGATGATTGTCTGAGTTTCTTGAGGTTGTTAAACCTCCTTCAAACCTTTCTAGAAAAAAAGATGGAGTAAAAATAAATACTTATTCTAAGTTCCAGAAAAACTCCAAGGAAAAGATGGCCCCTAGAGATCTGTACTTTACTTCTTTGGGTTCAGAGCGTTCAGTGGGGCGGGGCTCCGTGCTAGCCTTGCCTGCTCTAGCCTCCCTCTGCTCCCCTAAATCTTTCCAACCTGAAGAAAGCAGCCCAGGGCCAAGGTGTTTGCAGCATGGGCGGGAAGCACAAACAGCAGCCATAATGGCAGTGTCCGCCGGCATGTTTGAGGCTCGCTGCAGGCCAGCGCTGCGAGTGTATTATTATCCTCTTTAATCTTCATGGCAGCTGCATGAGGAGGGTGCTATCATTGTCCCCATTTCACAGGAGAAGAAACTGAGGTTCACAGAGGTGGTGTCCTCTAATCTGGGTACGACAGAGGGAGGAGAAGAACCAGGTGTCGGTGCCTCAGCAAGAAAGGCCAGTCACTCTGCCGCCCCCCAAATGGTAGGTGAAGGGGCCAGAGAAGAAATGGCAGAACATGAAGGACCTGGTGCAAAACAGGGCTCCACAGAGGGATGACGGACCCTGTTCAGAGCTAAGTGGAGGCGGCTCTTGGAAACATACCATGCTGCTCTGCGGGCTTCCCCTACCCAGTTCCTTTCAGCCACCTCCCGATACACTCATGAAACATATACTCGCTCCTGTGTCCGCCCAGCCCTGGCTCCTGTGGCCTCTGCTTCACTGAACCATGACACGCACTCGTGGTGCCAGCTCTGAGCCCCCACCTCCTGCCCTAGCCTCGGGCTTCTGGAAGCTGCAGATGCACCCAGGGCTGAGCTCAGCTTTCCACCTCCCCGTCTGACTCTACAAAGCCTCCGAGAAGAATGTGACTTTGCCTTCTCAGTTGAGAAGAAATTGCACCTCAGTGATAGGAGAATAGCCAGATCGCTGCAGGGAGTAACCAGGAAGAGAAAAATTACTCATTCTTCCAACTCAGAGCATCATCAACTAGACGATGTCTTTTTGCCTAGAAAGCCCATCTCCCTGTCCCTCACTCCCCTACTTTAGCCGGCCTCACAGGAACCACACTCTTCTGAAATTCCAGTTCTCCTAAGAAGCTTTACAAACATCCTAGAAGGAAGATAACCACCCCATCCTAGGATAAAAGGGAACTCAAATCTCATTCTGCGAGCCCATTGCAATCATGTCTTTTCCCTGCAGACAAAAATACATAATTTATCTCATGTGATTCGTGCCATACAATATTTATTGTGGCATATTCTTCACTCGAGAGTGCCTCTAAGTTTATTAAGAATTTAAATTCTCAGGGGGCCCTAGGAGGAGAGGCTGGGAAAAGCCTCCCCCCACAACCCCTCACAGAGGCTGGGGTAAATGCTCCTTTATTTTCTCTGTTGCGTTTGTAATTCCATTTGCCCTTGGTGAAAGCTACCACCTCCCTTCCCATTCGAGTTGAATCTCCTCTACGGGAATCTTGCTCAAGGGCTTTAGATCAAATTTGGAACTTGATGTTAGGTCAGTGGTTTTCAAACTTTGCTGCACAGGAAATCACCTGGGAGTGTTAAAAAAAAAAAAATCATGGTGCTTAGTTCACACCCCAAACAAATTGCATCAGAAAGTCTAGAGGTGGGGGCCAGATATCCATATTTTTTTTAAGATCCCTGGGTGCCAGGTACCTGTAATCCCAGCTACTTGGGAGGCTGAGGCAGGAGGATCACTTGAGCCCAGGATTTTGGGGCGGTAGTATGTTATGATCACACTTATGAATAGTGCTGAACTCTAGCCTGGGCAACACAGCAAGACCCTGTCTCAAAAAAAAGGAAAAATCCCCAGGAGATTCTTTGCCACAGCAAAGTCTAGGAGGCACGGCCTGAGCCCTGCCTGATTTCCCACCCACAAATGCCTCCTTCCCCATCACAGCACTGACCAGTGACCTTGACCATGCATTCAGCTCAGTCCTGGTCTCTAGTAGACCATCCAGGCTCAAGGCGTGAGAGCCTAAAGGACCTCTCACTACTTATGTGATCTCGCAAGTCAGGCTGTGACCTCGGGACCTGGTTCTGATCACTGCACTTTTCCCACAGATTCATTCCCACCTTAGGCACGGGTTCTGGTAATGGAACTCAGTAACAACATTTATGCTGCACTCATAATGACTAGAGGATGGGCTTTCCACACAAAATCCTGTTTAATTATAATAACCCACTTTGCAGATGAGATGGGTTCAATAACTGTCTCAAAGTCACACTGTTGGTAAGCACAGCAGAACCAGTCTTTAAATCTGCATCCACAGGCCTCAGAGCCTCCTCTCTTCATTACCAGGTGGGATGCCTCTCCTACCCTTGATCCCTGTGACCAAGTCTCAGGTAGGGCAGGGGGTGGGAGGTGACATCCCATAGGACAGATGCCCTGTGGTTCTCTCTTTTCTGGGCCCTTCTGTTTTTGTTTCCTAGGACTGTTATAGCAAGGCACTACAAACTGGGTGACTTAACACAACAGAAATGTATTCTCTCACATTTCTAGAGGCTAGAAGTGTGAAATAAATGTGTCGGCAGGCTCTGCTAGAGCTCTGAGGGTGAATCTGCTCCCTGCCTCCCTCCTGGCTTCTAGTGGTTGCTGGCAGCCCACAGCGTTCCTTGGCTTGTACACACATCACACTGGCCTCTGCCTCCATCTTCACATGGTCTTCTTCCTGGGTCTCTGTGTCTCCATGAAGCCTTCTTACAAGGACACCGACCACTGGATTTAGGGCCCACCCCAATCCAGTATGACTCATCTTAACTAATGACATCTGCAATGACCCTGTTTCCAAATAAGGTCCCATTCTGGGGGAGCACTCCAACCCGCTACACCTTCTGAACTCCAGGGACCCCAGTTCTGCCTCTGACCAGGTCCCGCCACTTGCTGATGACCTGTCACACCTCTGCCACCTCGTGCTTGCCCAGACATTAAGGACAGATTCGGAAGCTGCCAACTTCTGCTCTCCTCTGTCCTCTCGGACCCTGTGCTAGTTCCTCCCAGTATTTTCTAGCTGCTGAATGTATGTTGTTCATCTTGGATCTCTAGGTGCAAATGCCCTGAGGGCTGGACCCACACCCCTAGCTCCACTGGCCTAGACACCTGCCTGTTGGCCAGCTGGGAGAAGACATTCTCCACGAAGCCCCCGACATGCCCACCCCGTGCCCCCCTTACTATTTAGTGCTGAGATTGATTTTTTCTCTCTCTTTTTACAGGAAATGGGTATATTGAAGGTAAAGAGCTAGAAAACTTTTTCCAAGAGCTGGAGAAGGCAAGGAAAGGCTCTGGCATGGTAAGCCCAGCCCTGTCTCCGATTGTGTGGGATTTTCCTGACCTATGCCTTTGAGCATGCTGTGTCCCAGTTATGTATGCCATAAGCAGGCCTCATATCGCTGGTCTTGACACAGCATTTTATTTGTAAGGATAAAAAATAGACTGTCCCCTAAGAGTACCCTATCTCAATATCCTTGGGTGTCTGGGATTGAGGGGTATTCATGAGTGGACACCAGGGGTTGATGAATCCTCCTGCAAAGCTGCAAAGCTTTGTCTGCGTATGCGTATATTAATATATATGTAGTATTTTTTTGTCCCTAGGGACAGAGTCCATAGCTTCCCTCAGGTGCTTAGGGGTCATGATTCCAGATTGGATGCCCAGGAGGTTTCAAGTGCCCTGATTCTAGACCAGAGTTTCTCAGCCTCAGCGCTGTTGGCATTTGAGGCTGAATAATTTGTTGCAGGGGCTGCCCTGTGCGCTGTAGGAGACTAGCAGCATCCCGGGATCTACCCATGAGATGCCACTATCATCCTCCTTCAAGCTGTGACCATCAAAAATGTCTCCAAACATTGCCAAATGTCCCCCTGGTGGGAGACTGGGGGCAGAATCGTCCTCAGAAGAGAACCACTGTTCTAGAGCAACACGGGCTAGAATCCCCAGCAAGGAACTAGAGGAAAATTGAGGATTGCTCTCAGCCAGTATCTGAACCAGACGGCACTGGCTGGCCTCATTTGTGGTGGTGTCACGACCTTCTGAGCCTGCCCAAAGTGACTCCAGATCACATCCCAGCCCCTTAGTGACAGGAGTGTTGCTTTCCCTGGTGCCAACGTGGCACTACTGAGTTTGCTAAAGCCTTTTGGGGGAGGTATTTGAAATACTGCAAAGCTCAGGTGATTGGAACTAGTCTGCTGTGATTGCCGTGTCTGGTTCTGGAGTACATGGAGTCAGCCCCACACCCTCCCATCAGCTCCCTCGGGTCCTCTGGAGGCGTCTCTACTCTCCCCTGCTGCGTGTCTGTTGGCCAATCCACTGTTTATTTGCAGCTCTTCAGGGAGCATTTGGGAGATGAGTCACAAATCCACCGGTGAGCTCCTGGTTCAAAGCTTGGCAGAGCGCCCCAATGAGGAGGTCAAAGTGATGGGCTTAAAGGGTTGGAGGCGATTCATGGGTTTGTTTATCAACAGTTGTCCCATCAATTCCTAGGATAATGAAGCCTCGATCACAGAAAGCATGGGCTTCAGGACTGACTCTGGGATCATGGGCTAGTCGGAGAAATGTGTTTTTATGAAGTGCTTTGCATCTAGAATCCTTCTCTTAGTCATTCCCTTCCTCAGATGTCATCCGGGTAATTTTCAAGTCTGTCAACAATCCCAACTGATGCCATCCAGGACTGGTTCTCAGAGCAGCTGTTATATAGTAGAAAGAATATTGGCCTTGGAAGCAAAAGCCATGAGTTCAAATTCTGGCTTTACTTACTGGGTGCCCTCTAGAGAAGTCATCTCGGCCTCCATTAGTGTGTCAAATGGAAGGGCTACTAACTTCACAGGAGCTACTGTACAACTTAAATAAGATGGCCACATTTGTGACAAGTGCCTGGGATCAGACTATGTACCTTTGTAAATATAAATAAATACTGATAAACAAATAAATATTGACAAATTGATACTAATTCCAAAAGTAAAAAGCAATCAGAGGGATTCAGGAAACTCTCAGAAGTGGTAGGATTTCCCTTGGCCCAATCCTGGGGAGCACACAATTCATGTGGAAGTCATCAGCTGAGTGAGGCAGAAACATCAGCCGTGCAAGGTGGGCTCATCATTGATTAGGGAGAAGGAAGAGCTCCTTAATGCAAATAATTAATCAGCACTATCTCAAATCAGGGGAAGGTTCAAGAGCTTCAAGTCTATATTTAAGATAGACAGCTGTGGGCTTGAAGGAATGTTTTAAGTTCTTTGCTTTCTAGTAGTCAGAATAATTGGGTGGACTGTTTAAATTACCCTTCGGCTACATGATGACCTCCTCCTCATGTTCCTCCTGATATGAAAATCAAGAGTGAAAATATTGTGGAATTGCCAGTTAGTCTTTAAAGAAAATGAGCAATCTACCTTGCTGTAATGAAGTGCTTAGAACCTATTAGGGGGCACTGGATTAAGTTCAGTTTGATTACAACCTGCTTCAGTAAAATGTTGAGGCCTTAATTCTCACATCTGAGTGATGGGAACAAGTCCAAACCCTTCCTATAGAGTTGTAGCTTAATCCATCTCAAAGGCAGCAGGGCATGTTTGATTACCTGGTATGGAGCATGGCCACGTGTCCTTTGAAATTTATATGACTGAGCCTTGAAGAAGAGATGACTTAATTTGAAGGGAACCTGGAAAGGAAAACAACACAGCTCTGATCAATCAGAGCATCAGCACAACTTGGTTCTGCACCCACTTACCCAGGATGCAAATGATTTCCAAGCTTCCTGCTCTGAGATCATGGTTCACATGAGATACAGCAGCAAAAATCAGCCCCCTTTGTCTTTCCACAGATGTCAAAGAGTGACAACTTTGGAGAAAAGATGAAGGAGTTCATGCAGAAGTATGATAAAAACTCAGATGGGAAAATCGAGATGGCAGAGGTGAGCCCTGCCTCGCTGGTAAAGAGCTGTGTGGGAGGGGCCCTGGGTCCCTGTGCCTCTCCCAGGCATGAGCATCCTGCTGAGGATTGGAGTGAGGTGGGGGCCTCAAAGCTCCTGCACCCCCAGCACTTGGGCTGACCAAAGAGAACAGCAGGGACTTTTCTTGTGTGTCACCCAAGGAAGAAGGAAGTGACAAACAATGGCCAAAGATAGGGGTGGAGACCTTAAATGCCCACAGGGGCCAACAGGTATTGTAACCAAGTGGCAAGGCCAGCTGAAGACACTAGGGAGGCTGAAGACAGGTGAACAGGAGACTCTATGCCCCACCTAAAGCCATCCAAAGGCATAATTTTTAAAAGTTATATACATAATTTACACACATATATACATTTATAATTCACATCAGTAATTTACATATATATACATAATTTGCATATAACATAATTTACACGTATCCATGTATACATATATACATTCATATATGCACACGTATATACACATACACACATACACTCACACATACTCATATACAGGTGCATGTCAAACACCTCTGGTAATCAGTGACCACAGTCAAGGGCTCAAGAGTGCTGGCCGGACTCCGTGGCCCATGTCTGTAATCCCAGCACTTTGGGAGGCTGAGGCGGAGGATCCTTGAGGTCAGGAGTTTGAGACCAGCCTGGGCAATATAACAAAACCCCATCTTTACAAACCATATAAATAAATAAATAAGAATGATGATGGTGGCACAGGCATTAGGGCACAGCTCCACCCAGGGTATATTGTTGGGATGCTGCCTTAGGTTGGGTGCCTGAGACAGAGATTTGAGTGGAAGTGGCTTACTGAGGCAGAACTCTCCAGAGAAGGGCAGCAGGAAAAGGCAGGGGATAGTGCTGTGCAAGGATGCGGTCTCAACTGGAGCCTCGCCTTGGCTAGGCTTATAGGGACTCTGGAGTGTGGACTGTGCCACAGAGTGGGTCCCACTTTGAGGCAAGGGGGCTGGTCTGTTGTACCCCTGTGTCAATCAGTCAGTGGATGCAGGCTGCCCCTCTTTGGGCAAGGAGGGGACCTGTGGAACTTCCCCAGCGGGGCAGCTCTGGTCTGGCTGAGGGCAGTTCTTGTGCAGGGGCAGGGCTGAGCTGTTAGCAGTCTGACTTCATAGCAGCTGAGGGATGGCCAACAGCCTAGTTATAGAGGAGCAGGGAGAGGCACCAAGAATGGCCACTATAGATGCCCATGCTGATTCAAAGGGGCTTAAACCAAGGGTTGACAGGCTTTTTCTCTAAAAATACAGATTAAGGTAAGTGTGTTAGGGTTTGTGGGCCATCCAGTCTCTGCCACAGCTCTTCAGCTCTGCCACTGTAGCACAAAAGCAGCCACGGGTGGTATGTCAATGAGTGGGTGTGGCCACGTCTTATAAAACTTTACAAACAACTCCTGAGCCATACTTGGCCTGAGGGCCATAGCTTACCATGAGAGGCTTCTAACAGAAAGGCCAGGGTTAGGGTTTGTTCCAGGTGGAAGCCAGGGCTCCCGCTCTGCCTCCCTGCAGTTCTCTTGGTTCTGTTCTCTGCCCTCAAAATACCTTCATCCTCAGGCGGCTAGCAAGATGGCTGCCACAGCGCCAGGCATCACATCCACATACACCCACATGCATCCACATACATCCACATATACCCACATACATCCACATACAACCACATGCATCCACATTCAACCACACACACCCACATACATCTACATGCACCCACATACATCCACATCCAATCACATGTACCCACATCCATCCACATGCACCCACATGCAACCACATGTGCCCACATACAGCCATATACACCCACATACAACCACATACATTCACATACAACCACATGCACCCACATACAACCACATACATCCACATTCAACCACACACACCCCCATACAACCACATATATCTACATGCAACCACATGCACCCACATACACCCACAAACATCCACATACAACCACATGCACCCAAATACAACCATATCCAACTACATACATCCATATACAACCACTGTCCAGCTGCAGAAAGGACCCCTCTTAAGTGCAAGGAAATGTTCCCAGAAGTACCCACAGCAGCCCTTCCCCGACATTGCATTGGGCAAAACTGGGTCACGTGCCTACCTGTAAGCCAATCACTGGCAAGGAGAATGGGAGGCTCACACTTCACCAACGTAGACTCATCAGGATTGGCCTGTGACACAAGAGTTCCAGGAGCAAAAAAGGGGGTAAGGGCGGTTGGGTGGGCAGCCAGCAGTGCTTACTGCAAGAGGGTACCTGCATTTTTCAAAAATCGAATTATTGCAGTATCAATTTACATGCAATAACTGCATCCATTTGAAGTGTAAAATTCCTTGAGTTTAGATTTTAGGCCATGAAATTGCCACCCCAATGGAAATATAGCTTTTCTATTACCCCCTCCAAAAGGTTCCTCTAGCCTGGTGCAGGCCCTCTTACCCCAGGCAACCACCCATCTACTTAGATTAGTTTGCATTTTTCAGAATTTTACATACATGGAATCATCTGTTAAGTATTCTTTTGAGTCTGGGTGCTTGCATTTTAAAGCAGCACCACTTTTTCCCCTCCAATTGCTCATCCCTTAAGGTTGGGACGACTCAAAAGCACTTCTCTGAACATCCTTCTTTCCCTTTGAAGGACTGCCAGCACCCGTTCTCAAGGAAGGAAGGAAGAAAACGCAATTCCCACACTGCCTCGCCACTGGCCCTTTCCATCCTTCTTAGGGGAAAATCTGCTCTGCTCCCTGTCAAGTCCCTCCATAACGTTAGTGTCGCTCTCTGTATCTTCACAGCTGGCGCAGATCCTGCCAACCGAAGAGAACTTCCTTCTGTGCTTCAGGCAGCACGTGGGCTCCAGCGCCGAGTTTATGGAGGTGAGGCCAAGGCACCACCTTCTTTCTAAGCACTGGGACCTGCCTTCCTCCTGTGTTCAGAGCCAGGCCCACCCTCCTGCCTGGTAATGGTCCCTGGGAGATGCTAAACCCCTTAGAGCTCTGCTACTCAAAGTGTGGTCCGTGGACCGGCAGCATCAGTATCACCTGGGTGCCTGTTAGAAAACAGAAAGGGGCCAGGAGTGGTGGCTCACGCCTTGTAACCCCAGCACTTTGGGAGGCCGAGGCAGGCGGATCACCTGAGGTCAGGGGTTCGAGACCAGCCTGGCCAACATGGCAAAACCCCATCTCTACCAAAATACAAAAAAGTTAGCCTGGCGTGGTGGCGGGCACCTGTAATCCCAGCTATTCGGGAAGCTGAGGCAGGAGAATCACTTGAACTCGAGAGGCAGAGGTTGCAGTGAGCCGACATAGCACCACTGCACTCTCAGCTTGGGTGACAGAGAGAGACTCCGTCTCAAAAAAAGAAAGAAAGAAAGGGAGAAAGGCCTGTAATCCCTACTCAAGGAGGCTAAGGCAGGAGGATCTTTTGAGGCCAGGGTTTCAAGACCAGCCTGGGCAACATAGTGAGACCTTGTCTCTACAAAAATAAAAAGCTACCATAGTGAACAGGAATTTAAAAAAAAAAAAAAAGATAAAAAACTTAGTGGGATATGGTGGTGCACACCTGTAGTCCCAGCTTCTCAGGAAGGCTAAGGCAGGAAGATCAGGAGTTTGAGGCTGAAGATCACACCACTGCCCTCCAGGCTGGGCCACAGAGCAAGACCCTATCTCAAATTAAAAACAAAAACAAAAAAAAGGTAGACAGACTCCCTGATCCAGTGACTCAGAAGCTCCATTTTAACAAGATCCCCAGATGATGTGTATGCACATTAAAATGTAGGGAATAAGATGAGAAGTAAGCTTGGGTCAAGTACGCTTGGGAAACACTGTGTACATGCATCTCTCATGTGGGGATTTGTTGTGGTCATTTGCATATCACAGGCTCTGAGAAATCAAGCAATAAAGAAAACCGTGCCACTCAGTTTGGCTCCAGGATCTCATGCCACTCAATAATAATGTTGTGTCTCTCGAAGTCAGAGTTCCAAGAAGCAGGCTAGAGAAGGATGGACTTATGTACGATTCTATAGCTACAAAAGTCCAGTGAGGATTCCAGTTTTTGGTATCTTCCACGTTTCATCTTTGACTATGATAAGGTTTCGGTTTTCCTTTTTAAAATTAGCATTCCTGGCTGGTCACTGTGCCCTATGCCTGTAATCCCAGCACTTTGGGAGGCCAAGGCAGGTGGATCACTTGAGATCAGGAGTTTGAGGCCAGCCTGGGCAACATGGAAAAACCCCATCTTTACTACAGATGCAAAAATTAGCTGGGCATGGTGGTGCATGCCTGTAATCCCAGCTACTCAGGAGGCTGAGGCAGGAGAATCGCTTGAACCAGGCAGGCAGAGGTTGCAGTGAGCCAAGATCGTGCCACTGCACTCCAGCCTGGGCGACAAAGACTCTGTCTAATAAATAAATAAATAAATAAATAAATAAATAAATAAATAAATAAAATTAGCATTCCCCTCTTGGCAATATAATTTCCTTGAGATCTTCATGTAAAATATGATGTTCAAATTCATGTCTCTTGAGTAATATTCATCTGATAAATTGAACCATATGAAATTGCTGATATTTAACGATTTTTTACTTACAAAAAGTGGAAATTCTATGTGGTTCAACCAAATATATTACTAATCCTGATGTCCAGCAAACTACCAATTATTTCTTGCTCTCTTTCTGGGACTCCACACTCTAACCATTCAGCATATGCATCCCTCAGAGTGAAATTCAACCCATACCCACCTCACGAACTGCCTGCTCTGATAAATAATAACTGGCCTTCGACGTGACTCTCTGCCATTCATTGGGGTTAAATCCATTTCCAGCCACCGGTAATCCCCTCTCTGTGATCCACTGCCTGTAACAACTGGAGAGCTGGCCCAGAAGCCTGTGTGGCAGCAAGCTCCCCTCCTGGGCAGACAGTCAGTGAGAAAGAACCAGTTCTCAGGGTGGAACAGTCATTTTTTAAGTGACAGCTTGCCTGAGCATCAGAGATGGATTTAATTTTATGGTGCCTTAAAAGATTTTTCTCCAGTTTTTTCAAGATGGCAAGATTCCACAAGCTGATAATTGACATTCTAGCTTCTGTTCTTAGTCCTTCTCTAGCCTGCCTGGGAGAAAAAAAGTTCTGCGTATCCTTATAACTTGTCAGGGTGTTGCTTTTGTATCAAGTTTTCCAACTATAGAAAAGGGAGCATCATGCCTGACTCCTTTCCTGATAGAGAGACAGCCAAAAATTGGCCTCTATTCCACCTCTGGTCTGGAAACAGGGATGGTGGCACCTTGTAGGGGGGGCAGGGATGCTTACAGAGGAGCTAAAAGCATCTCCCCGGACCCTTTTCTCTTTCTCAAAATCATTAGTGGCTTCTCTCTGTGCAGCTGACAGGATTTCTTTCTTTTCTTTCTTTCTTCTTTCCTTCCTTTTCTTTTTTTTTTTTTTTTTTTTTTTTTTTTTTTTTTTGAGACGGAGTTTCGCTCGTTGCCCAGCCTGGAGTGCAATGGTGCGATCTCAGCTCACTACAACCTCCGCCTCCCGGGTTCAAGCGATTCTCCTGCCTCAGCCTCCCGCCGAGCTCGGATTACAGGCAGGCACCACCACTTCCGGTGAATTTTGTATTTTTAATAGAGACGGGGTTTCTCCATGCTGGTCAGGCTGGTCTCAAACTCCCGACCTCAGGTGGTCTGCCCACCTTGGCCTCCCAAAGTGCTGGGATTACAGGCATGAGCCACCATGCCCAGCCTCAGGATTTCATATTCTTACATGTATTTGTCCTTCTAAGTCCCAGCATAACTGCAGAGGAGACATGCCCGCCACGGTTTCTGGGACCCCACCCTCCCACAGTACTGTCCCACTGTCCCCTCCTGGGGTCTGTTCCATTTGTTCCATTTTTACCAGCCAGAAGCCTGAAATGGTCCCTCAGTAGCCCTGAAAGGCTTGTGCTCTCAGGTAGCTCCCATCCCAGCACTCAGCACAACAACTCCTAATTTTAGTGATGCCTCAGGATTTCTTTGAGATTTCACAAAGCCCAGGTCTCTTGAACTCTTTTCCTTGAATGAGAAGAGAAAGGATGCACTGATGATGATGAGCACAAGTGCTGGATGGGGAGAGGAGGCACGTGGGGGAGCCCAGAGCTGGCATCCTGGCGGGGTGCATGGTCGGAAGTGGACCCGCTGGCAAGATGGCTTGGGAAAGCAGCCGCTGGTGCTTTGCTCTGTGCAGGGACTGGGGTTCCTTCAGGTTATTGCCCTTTTAGGCAACTTGGAGGGGGTGTCTTCCTCTTCTCAGTAAAGACTCAACTTAGACAAACTAAACTGTAATGCACTAAGTGCCTGCGAGTTGTTGGTGAAGTCATATTTGGAAATCCTCACATATATTTTAGTGCCTTTTCAAGGGCAGACTTTCTGGCTATGGGAAGGAGTATTTCAAAGAGTCTAAGGCATTTTTCTGCAGAGAAAAGACACTCTTGTAATCAAATACCATCGACCTAAGTTGCATATAGTACAAATCTACCCTTTTCTTGGGATTTGCTCCTGTCTTGTGACAAAAAAAAAAAAAAAATCAGGACCAAAATTTCTGAGCCCTGTCACCATGAAAATTACATAACATTGTTTGCTGGTGTTTAAAAAGAGACATTTTCCGTAAAATATAACTAAACTCTAAATGTCCATAAACTCTAACACTCCTGACAATAAAGGGGCACATGCAGTGGAGAAGTGGGGGGAGGCAGGGGATAAGATGTAGGAAAAGGATTAGTGGTTGCTGGCTCCCAGAAAATCAAGTGTTGCTGGTCTTCAGGTGTGTAGTTTGGAGCTGGGGGAGAAGCGAAGAAAAGTCAGGAGAACAAAACTTGAAAGAAAATCTAGGAGCCAGGCATGGTGGCTCATGCCTGTAATCCCAGCACTATGGGAGGCTGAGGTAGGAGGATCACTTGAACTCAGGAGTTTGGAGATCAGTCTGGGCAACATAGTGAGACCCCATCTCTACAAAAAAATAAAAAATTAGTTGCGTGTGGTGGTGCACGCCTGTAGTCCGAGGCACTTGGGAGGTTAAGCTGGGAGGATCACTTGAGCTTGGGAGGTAGAGGCTACAGTAAGCTTTGGACGCCACTGCACCACAGCCTGGGTGACAGAGTGAGACCCTGTCTCAAAAGAGGAGGAGGAGGAGGAGGAGGAGGAGTAGGAGGAGGAGGAGAGGGGGAGGGGGAGGGGGAGGAAGAAAGAAAGAGAAAGGAAGGAAGGAAGGGAAGAAAGGAAGAAAAAGGAAGGAAGGAAAGAAGGAAGGAAGGAAAGAAAATAAAGGAAGGAAGGAACGAAAGAAAAAAGAAAAAAAAATTAGAAATATGTGGCGCCAAATAGACCAAAGATATAGCGGAACATGGTTCTCCGGGCATCTTTGCCCCAGATGTGGGCAGTCCCCTCCCCTGCACCACTGCCCCTCCTGTGGCTTTCTCTCTTCTCCACCAGATGATGTGGTAAAAGGCAGGGAAGTCAGAGCAGTTGTATACAGGACCATTGGATGAGTTACTTATTGCTGTATAATAAACTGCCCCTAAAACTTAGCAGCCTGAAGCAACAAACATTGATTACATCCCACTTTCGATGGTCAAGAATTTGGAAACAGCTTAGCTGCGTGGTTCTGGCCCAGGCGCTCATGAGATCACTGTCGAGATACTTCCCTTCATTTCCTTCTCTGTGACCTTGAAGGGTCTGGGCTACATCATCTCCATGTCTCCATCCCATTCCGATATTCTTGAAGATCAAGACCCTGGGTGGCCCATTAAAGGGGAATGGAAGGGAGGTGGGTAGATTTTGATACGTCTTTGCAAAGAGGTTGACATTCCTGTTGTTGCAGGCTTGGCGGAAGTACGACACAGACAGGAGTGGCTACATCGAAGCCAATGAGCTCAAGGTAGGATGGGCCTTGGGGAGGGTGTGAGGCCAGAGTGGCGGTGGGCTTAAGGTGCCTGAGGAGGGAGGAGATGTTGGATGAGGGGCATGAGTTTGCGGGCTGCTTAGGAATACTCAGACCTGGCACTGAATTGTTGGACTTGTTTAGAGAAGTCAGGGGAAATCAGTAACATAGAGCTGCCAGGCTGTAGATTTCAACGAAACCCAGCTCTTCTGCACCTCCATGCTCGGGACAGGAGTCCTCCAGGCAATTCCAGAAGATTGGCCTCTGGCTCCTAGGTCCACCTCCAAATTCCTCTGGCTATCACCCAGTGATTCCCCAGGCACTGCTTAGCTCCGTATACTGGTCTCCCAGGAGGCAGAGCCAATCTCTAGCGCCTATTCTGTGAGGCAGGGTTGCACCACCAGCTAGTACAGCCTTAAAAGTCACTCCCCAAGAGTTAGGAATTATGAGGGCCCTGAGTCATAGAACTGGTAGACCTGAAAAACACACACACACACATTGAGAGACTGTCTGAATGAGCAAGTAAGGAAATGAATGAGGGACCGAATGCACGAGTCAGGAGTACTAAAGAGGCCTTTTGTGTTGCAGGGATTCCTGTCAGACCTGCTGAAGAAGGCGAACCGGCCGTACGATGAGCCCAAGCTCCAGGAATACACCCAAACCATAGTGAGTGAACAGAAGTGTCCCTCTCCCCCAGGGTGCAGGACTTGTGCCCCAAGCCACTTGGGCTCTGGTGTGCAGGGTCCCTTGTTTGCTGATTCTTCAGGCCCAAGGGAAGTGATTCACAGTGGCAGCTGGCAAAAAGGGATGCTACTTCGTGGCTTCACATACCCTTTGAGGTCCTGGGTGTGAGCTGACTCGTGGGCCAATGTGATTGTCTGTCTCCATGGCAACCTCTGCAGCTCTAGGAGAGGATGATCTTGGAGAGAGTGGGCCTTTAGTGCCGGCCTGCTGTGCCTCAGCTGCCCCTGTCCCTGAGGAGGGGAGAGAGGAGCAGTGAACGAGTCCCTGTGGTCCACCCAGGGGACCCCCGTGACTGATTTAGCCCATGTTGGTTCTTGGCCCCTACGGACCTCAGAGGAAGCATGAGCACGTGTCACCCGTCCTCCTTCCCATCCTCTCCAGTAAAAGGGGATGTCAGGTCAGAGAAATTCACAGCAAATAACCCAGGCACCTTTCTGTCCCCAACAGCTACGGATGTTTGACTTGAACGGGGATGGCAAATTGGGCCTCTCAGAGATGTCCCGGTAAGCACCTCACCCCCGGGGTCACTGATACTGGCTCCCACAGGTCATTCCTGTGTTATCCGTCTCTGAGATCCATTGGTGGGAAAGTGACAGGTGCGGGTGTCAAGAAGCTCAAGACAAAGCAAGATAGAATTGTGACCGTCAACACCTCACCTTGTCTGTCTCCCTCGTTTTTGAACTTCCCACTGATTCATTATGTGTGAAGTGCTCAGAAATCATTTCTGTAACTGCAGGCACCGCCTCTGCCTTCCCCTCTCCCGCTTGCCCTTGCCTGTGCAGTCTCCTCATCTCTGCTCTAACATTTTCTCCCCAGACTCCTGCCTGTCCAGGAAAACTTCCTGCTTAAATTTCAGGTAAAACTTTGCTTTCCTTCCTTCCCCCTTCCCTCATCCCTCTGAGCCTGGCCCTGCACCCTCCTTCCCCCAACGCACCACACACAACACACTACACACACCCACACACACCACACACACACAAAACACACCACACACACAACACACACAGATCACACACACAAAACACACACAGACCACACACACCACATACACAACACACGCAGACCACACACACTACATATCACACGCACACACCCCACATACACAGAGACATCACACACACCACACAGACCACACACCACACACACAACACACACATCACACATGCACACACCACACACATAAACACACACACACAAACGCACACCCACACACACACCACTGCGCTTCTGCTTCTGTCTTTAATACCCTGGTTCTTGCAGGGCATGAAGCTGACCTCAGAGGAGTTTAACGCGATCTTCACATTTTACGACAAGGTAAGAGAGGGAGTTGGCATGGCAGGGAAAATCAGAAGCCCATCAGCCCGTCCAGAAGGGCTCAGCTTCATCCCTGGGAAGAGACAGCTTTCCAGGGGTGGCCTGGGCCGTGTGGTTTCTTCCTGCCGCATCTTCTGCTGTATGAGAAGGCAAATGTCATTCTCCACCGGTGGCCTATGGAGCCCAAGGGGTTGGTTTCTGCAGAGTGCAGCCGAGAATCGTTGGGGGAGGACTATGCTTAGAACTAGGGTGTGACCACGCTGTCGGGAGCCAAAGGGAAGAGACACTCAGAACTGCCCTGGTGCCAGATCACAATTCTGCCCAGGGCCAAGTCTTTCTCTGGGAAGTTGGAAGTTAGATGATCTCCATACCCACCCCTCCCTGGGCTGTCCCCTGCCCACATGACTCCGGTGGTTTTCTTCATAACCAGTGTTGGAGGTAAACTTTAAATAGCCCCCGGACTCAGGGAGTTAACCAAATGCTTCTTGAATCTCACTTAAATTTTCAACGCACATGAAAAGCACCACAATGAAAGGCTACCCAAAGCTTGCACCCACTGCCACCTTCCTGCCATGACTGGTTAAGGCAGAAGGGACACATTATTTTGTCATTACACGATCTGAACACCCCCTTTTGCACAGAGTAATGGAGAGGCTAGACTCTTAGACATCCCTGGAATGGGTCGGGACAGCAGGGGCCCAGGCTTTAGAGCTCTGGGTTGACTCTGCTCCCATCCCCAGGATAGAAGCGGCTACATTGACGAGCATGAGCTGGATGCCCTTTTGAAGGATCTGTACGAGAAAAACAAAAAGGTGAGCAGCCAAGCCTGAGGCCCGGCCACTGTCCCCAGGGCACAGGAGAGGCTTCTGCAGGAGAGGAGGGGAAAGGTGCCTGGTCCTGCTCTCTACTCCCCTCTGATCTGCCACAGCAAGGCAATAGACATTTTGTGGGTTTGCTTTTGGTTTTTTGATTTCTGGTTGGTTGGTTGATTAATTGATGTTTCTTTTTAAAATTTAATTGTGGCAAAAAACACAGGACAGAAAGCTTACCATCTTCACATTTTTAGTGTACAGTCCAGTGGCATTGAACATATTCATAATATTGCACATGCGTGGCCACCTTCTCATCCTGCAGCGCCAAAACCTGTACCCATTAAAAAATAACTCTCCATTCCCCTGTCCCCCATCTCCTGCCAACCACTCTACTTTCTGCCTCTGTAAATTTGACTGCTCTAGGTACCTCATGTAAAGAAAATAGTATAATCTTTCTGTGCCTGGCTTATTTCACTTTGCATAATGTCCTTGCAAGCTTATCCATGTTGTGGCATGTGTCAGAATTCCCTTCCTTTTTAAAGCTGAATAATGCTGCATCGTATAAATATACCACATTTTGTTTACCCATTCTCTTCTGTGGACGCTTGGGTTGCACCCATCTGCTGGCTGTTGTGGGGGATGCTGCTGTGAGGCCATGACAGTGTTGACGTGTGAAAGTGTTAGCCAAATTGCCAACCAAAAAAACACTTTCCACACAAAGAGAGATTCTGGAGGACAGAGGCCAGTGAGAGGTGAAGGGCTATTCTGGATTGATGAACTGCAGAATCGGGAGCTGGGGGAGGGGTTAAAAGGAGCCACTGAAGAGTTTGTTCCTCTCAAAGAAAAGGCAAAGAAGTGAACTCCATTATTTTGCCTGATGTTGCCTCCTGGGAATACCCTGGGAGACCCTCCCATGGGCTCAGTTTGGTGCACTGGGTGGAGGAGTCAGGTGGAACGGCAGCCAGGAGCCAAACCTTTGCAGCTGTCTTCGTTCACCGCCTGGAAAATGTCTTTCTCTGAGCAACTGGTTTTGCTGCTTTCTTTAATTAGACAATGAAAGCTCTACAATTCCTTGAGTTGTCTCACCGCCTTGGCTGACAAGCAAGAGCTAAATTTAATGCTCAATTTCAGGAAAAAATTATCTGCAGTCTCTATTCATCTCCCTTTCCAAGTGCTTTCTGATCTCTTTATCTTAAATATCATCCTTCATTTATTTCATCTTTTTTATTTAAATGTTACCTACAATTACTCTTGAAAGAGGCAGAAAATAAATGATAAGGAAGCAAATACTTCCTGGGAAGAAGGAAGTACTCACCAGGTGTTTGAACTTTTTTCTTGGCACTAAATTCTAGGAGAAAATTATGTATGTGCCCGTATGTATCCAAGGAATGTTGGGCACCATAGTGGAAAATACCTTTATGTGTAATTGTATGAATGAGGCATAGTTTGTCTTCATGAGACTCTGTCTTATACCTGAGGTGGATAAACCCTGAAGACATGCATTAAATCTCAGAGTGACCTGAATTTCCTGGTCATCAACTCACTAAGCTCTTCCTTGGTTCACACAAAGGACAGCTTGTGGTGCTGCACAGCTTGACTCCAAGTATGGAAACAAAAGTAAAGATTCTGCTGTTGGGATTCAGAAGCCACTCTGAAGGTCAGAGAGCAAGAATATTAACAAAGCTGTTTACCTGAGAGCCTTCCACCTGGACCAAGTTTCAGATTTGGCGCCTGAGGATTGAGAGAGTGAATGAGTAGAAAGAGAGAGCCGCGTGACTCTAAATCACAGCACCTGTGCTGGAACGGAAGGGCCTTTTTTTTTTTTTGTAAACCCACATAGATGCACGCATTCCATTTGGATGGTGCCTGCATGGAGTGTGATAAGGTTTCTGAGCAGATTAATGTTTGAGGCTCCTCGAGGGGACAGGCTGATGGGATTGAACTTCAGTATTTCTTAGCACTCCCAAGGCCATGGCAACTCACTAGAGCCTTCCCCAGTTTTAAGTGAAACTTATAGGAAGTAAGCAGCCCCTCCCCCATGCTGCTAAGTCTCTCGCTGCCACAGTTCACTGCGGAAGTTGTCCCAAGCTTGGGGTTGATAGATGAGGTCCCTTCCTTGGCTTCTGATTAAGTGGCAGATATCTCAGGTGCACGCCAGTGTTATGTGACATTTCCAAGAACATCACAACTTAGGGAAGGTGCCTCTCAAAGCTAGACATGCTTGCAAAGTGCCCTTGGGTTTTCATGGCACCAAACCAGAAATTAATGGCATAAAAAGAGAAGCCCCGGCACAATGGGAAAAAAAGACTGGCCCTTGAGCCCTGAGAAAGAGGTGACAGAATAGTGCACCAGTGAAATCATTAGACTTCAGGGCTCATGCTTGGATTACAGATATTCATGATTAGATTACAGATATTCATGAGCATGACTGTACCTCAGTTTTCTTATTAGCAGAATGGAGATAATGACCCATCAGCCTAGGAGGGAAAAAAATTTTAAGTATCTGCTAACATTTTCAATACAAAAGAATAAAAGAAGAACTGGATGTAGTGGCGCCCACCTATAGTCGTAGCTACTTGGGAGGCTGAGGCAAAAGGATCGCTTGAGCCCAGGAGGTCAAGGGTGCAGTGAGCTGTGATCACGCCATTGCATTCCAGCCTGGGTGACAAGAGCAAGACCTTATCTCAAAAAAAAAAAAAAAAAGAAAAAGAAAAAGAAAAAGAAAAAAGAAAAAAGAGGGATAGAGTGGGGGAGAAGGAAAGAAAGAAAAGGTTGTTTAAGTCATTTTCCAGTGTTGATGATGACCTTGCTATATTTCAGACCCATTGGTTATTTGTATCCGAAGCAATCATTGTAAAGCATGTATTTAACATCAGGCATATCAGGTGTTGGTATTTAATATGGGTCTCCATTTATATGAGACAATGGGCATATGTTCATGGCTCACCTGTCTCAGTGGCCCCTGAACACAAGAAGCCAGTGAACAAGAAGTAGGCTGGCGAGCTTTATTGCTGGAGAAGCTGGGATTTAGAATTCCTTGCTTAAATAGGGGCTGGGTGCAGTGGTTCACACCTGTAATCACAGCACTTTGGGAGGTGGAGGCGGGCAGATCACCTGAGGTCAGGAGTTCGAAACCAGCCTGGCCAACATGGTGAAACCCCCGTCTCTACTAAAAAAAAAAAAAAAGTGCAAACATTAGCTGGGCATAGTGACAGGTGCCTGTAATCCCAGCCCAGCTATTCGGGAGGCTAAGGCATGAGAATAGCTTGAACCCGGGAGGCAGAGGTTGCAGTGAGCCAAGATCACGTCACTTCCCTCCAGCCTGGGCCACAGAGCAAGACTCCATCTCAAAAAAAAAAAAAAAAAAAAGCAGACTTCCTTGCTTAAATAGGGGCCAGGTGCGGTGACTCACACCTGTAATCCCAGCTACTTAGGAGGCTGAGGCAGGAGAATCGCTTGAACCCGGGAGGCAGAGGTTGCAGTGAGCCGAGATCGTGTCACTTCACTCCCGTCTAGGCCACAGAGCAAGACTCCGCCTCAAAATAAAAAAAATAAAAAAAATTCCTTGCTTAAATAGATGAGACTTAGGAAAGAGTGGTCCAGGAGGCTAGAAGGCAAGACCAGGGAGCTTTCCTGGCATTCTCTTCATCACCTGCAGTGAGCCAGTTTGGCCTTGAGTTAACCGAGGCCCAGTGAGGTCGAGGAAATATATACAAGTCATACATAGATCATGACTGTCACAATAGCTACCTTTTATTTTTCAAGTGCTTGCTGATGTGGCTTATATTCATTCCCTCACGTAATCATCGCAACACCTCCATGAGGCATGAACTTTTAGTGTACCCATTTTACAGGTGAGGCAGCTGAGTCTCAGGAAGGTTGACTACCTTCCCCAAAGCAATGCAGCCAGTAAGTGAAAGAGAGGCTTTAACCTCCATCTGTCTGACTCCAAAATCCATGCTTTGCATTCATCTAAGCCACTTATCCTGGGATGAGATGAGAGAAAGGTGTGGGTGTTTGTGTTTGTGAATGTGGACGTGGGCTCCTTGCGTCGGGACCATCCCCTGAACCTGCTCTTACCCTCTCCCTGTATTTCCTAGGAAATGAATATTCAACAGCTCACCAACTACAGAAAGAGCGTCATGTCCTTGGCAGAGGCAGGGAAGCTCTACCGCAAGGACCTGGAGATTGTGCTCTGCAGCGAGCCCCCCATGTAAAGTGGGGACGGGGGCTGCTTCTCCACCTCCCCCAAACCCTGCTTCTGCTGCCCTGATGCGTCTACCCAGACTCAGAGACCGTGAGCGCCCCGCCCCCACCCCTACAGCCTGCACACACCTGCCTGCAGAGCAGGAAATGAGAGATAGAGGATGGGCAGCTGGGGGGCTGTCCTGAGCCCCCTGCACCCACCCCTGCCCAGGCAGTCTTTGCTCAGTGGATCACACACATGGAAGGTGATGGGGGCATGGGTGGAGGGTCCCTAATTCTCTTCGCTGTGATGCATGAGCTCCCTCGCTGTATGATTTAGGCTTCTATGTCCAACAGAGTGGACTCTTCCCTCTCGCTCCCCTCTGCCGGTCCCCCATGCCACCACCCACCCCAAACTTCCAGGTTCCATCCACCACCTTGCCAATGGTGTAGCTGTCCTCTCAGAACTCCTGTGTGTGGAAGGCACCCGCCCTTTCCTTGCCTTCTTTACTCGGCGTGCTCCTTTTCTCTTTGGGTTTCTTGTTTACCAAAGAAGAGTTTACAGACAATAAAATGGAAAGGTCCTGCTGTGGAAACTTACCCAATCTTGTCTAGTGGTCAACTTCTCTCTACAGTTAGCAGCTCTGCCTGACAAAGGGAGGGCCTATTCTCACGTGGATGGAGGAGGGTAATGGGACCCACCCAAGTGGGGCATAGGACCCCCAAGACTCTATGGCTTTCACTCACCATTCATTGCCTATCTCTTCACCAACCTGAGTCACTTCTTAGTTTCATGTTTCTTTCTATATCTCTGAGATTATAACATAGCTGACAAGTTCAATGAAGTCTTACTAAGGGTAGTATTAGTATTGTGCTCAACAGTTGACCTGGAGCATCTTTCTTAATCCTTTGAGAGGTGCTGTGATTGTCTCCACTGTCCAGGAAAGAAAACTGAAGATTAAAAAGGTTTTGGGCCTGGCATGGTGGTTCATGCCTGTAATTCCAACACTTTGGGAGGCCAAGGTGGGTGGCTCACCTGAGGTCAAGAGTTCAAGACCAGTTTGGCCAACATGGTGAATCGCCATCTCTATTAAAAATACAAAAATTAGGCTGGGTGCGGTGGCTCACACCTGTAATCCCAGCACTTGGGAGGCTGAGGTGGGCGGATCAAAAGGTCAGGAGATCAAGACCATCCTGGCTAACACAGTGAAACCCCGTCTCTACTAAAAATATGAAAAATTAGCCAGGCGTGGTGGCAGGCGCCTGTAGTCCCAGCTACTCGGGAGGCTGAGGCAGGAGAATGGCGTGAACCCGGGAGGCGAAGCTTGCAGTGAGCCGAGATCGCACCACTGCACTCCAGCCTGGGCGACAGAGTGAGACTGCGTCTCAAAAAAAAAAAAAAAAAAAAAAAAAGCAAAAATTAGCCAGGTGTGGTAGCACGCACCTGCAATCCCAGCTACTTGGGAGGCTGAGGCATGAGAATCGCTTGAACCCGCGAGGCAGAGGTTGCAGTGAGCCAAGACTGCACCACTGCACTCCAGCCTGGGCAACAGACTGAGACTCTGTCTCAAAAAGTAATTTAAACAAAACAGATAAGTAAATAAATACATAAATAAAAAGGTTTAGTAACGAGCCCTGGCCAGTTGGGGCAGAGCCAGGGTATGAATCCAGCAGATTGGATCCACTTTATACCAATGGGGTCCCTACCACTGGGACTAAGTGATCTCCACCAAGCAGGAAGGACCTCCAGCCAGAAGCTCTAGACCACCAGAACTTAACTTCTCCTCCTCAAAGTGCAAGTTACCCAACACCCGATCGCATGCCTCTTGGTGTAGGGCCAGCTTGGCCTTTGGGTTCACAGAGCTCTTAGATCCTACAATAGAGAGATGACAGATTTTTTTTCATGCTGTCACATATTGATTGTCTACAAGATGTATTTTAACAACACTACCTCATTTAATCTCACAACAATCCTACCAGACGGATACTATTTTCAGATAAAGCAACTAAGGCTCAAAGACATTAGGGGATGGGGTCGGGGGAAATTAGGGACTCAAATTTACTTGCCTCCCTCATGTCTCAGGGCCCTGTGCTTTCCCCCACTGGCACCCTTACCTTGGGGCAGGAGCTTTGCCTCTGCAAACTTGCAGCCCTTTTCAGTTCAGCCATATCTGCCGTTGGACCACAGGAGACGAGGAACTCCTTCCAGGCCATCCTAGAGGTCTTCTTAATCTTCATGTATGCTCTTAATTGTATATTTGTAGTTTTAAAAATTCTCAGTTGGTCAAGGTGTCTCACATCTGTAATCCCAGCACTTTGGGAGGCCGAGGTGGGTAGATGGCTTGAGCTCAGGAGTTTGAGACCAGCCTGGGAAACATAGTGAAACCCCATCTCTACAAAATATACAAAAAATTAGCTGGGTATGATGGCATGCGCATGTGCTCCCAGCTACTCAGGAGGTTGAGGGTGGGAGGATTGCTTGACCTGGGAGGTCGAGACGCTGCAGTGAGCCAAGATCACGCCATTGCACTCAGCCTGGGTGACAGAGTGAGACCCTATTTCAAAAAATGTTTTTCCTTATGCGTACTCTCTAGAGCCACAAGAATGATCCAGATGACCCCAAAATCTTTACATTCCTTTTGCTTGCCATAGGAACTAAGTACCACAACCATCTGAAGCCTCGGTCGGTGCTTTATCCTCTACCCACCTATTGTCCCTGTCCCTACCAGTGATCATTTGAGGATTTGTGATGCCACCACCTGTGATGAAAAAAATCCATGTTCTGTTTCCCTCTGACAAAGAGGCCATCCCTGTCTTTCTTGAATAATTTATCAACCCAACCCCAGAATATCCAGATCTTGTTTCCTAGGGCCATCTCCAGTACAAGTTACTAATTCAGTATAGATCCCAATAGAAAACAGACAGCACCTTCCATTCATATCATTCAAGGAGGATTTGTTCACAAACATCTTTTATATGCATGTGAGTGAAATACAAGGGACTCATAAGGGATAGTGGTGAACCAGGGACTAGTGACAGGGAAGTTGCTGTTACCACACTTAGGCCCAAAGGAATGAGAGGAACCCAGAAAGGAAGAGTTGTGCAGGGAATGTCACATGTTCTGTTCAAGCACACAGCCAAGCCCAGATTAGCTCTTATGGAGTAAACACATGCCCCCTCCTCCCTGCTTCCTTCCTATCTCCTTCTAGGGTTCCACATTGCCTGAAGCCAGAGGGCCAGGAGCCTACTAATGGAATCCACACAGGCCAGACTCAAGGGCAGAAAACAAGCGGGGAAGGGTGGGGAGTGATGAAGAGGTATAGCGAGGACACACCCAACACACTCAGAAACTAGAGACACCAGTGGGCACTGAATATGTGAACCTGAAGTTCTGGAAGATGTCGGGGCTAGAAATATGAATTTGTAAAACATCTGTGCAAAGATGGGTTTTAAGGTGGTGGGAATGGCATGAGATTCCCCCAGGAGATACTAGAAAGGAGGTCTGAGATAGGATCTCTGGGCCCTCCCATAGTGAGAGCTCTGGAAGGGAAGAGGGCACGGCCAGGCAGGCAGAGAGAAACCAGGAGGGTATGGTTTCCTGAAAGACAAGTGAAAAGTGGTGTCTGAAGATGAGGTAAGTGATCAAAGGTATCAGATACTGCTGAGATGTATGAGGGCTGAGATTTCAATGCCTGCTTATCTCCTTATCCAAGTCCTCCAAAAGGATAATGGGAACTCCTAGAGGTGGGGGCTGTGTTTTTTGAGGAGTGCATGGCCACAAGAGTGCACAAATGAATGAATGAGTGACTCCACCTTCAGGGAAAGAGGGCGGGTGTGAGTCTGAACTTAACTTGAGAAACCCTTTAGGGAATGATAAAATAATAACAGCTCCAAGAACCTCAGGACATGAGCCAGTCAGAATGTGTTACCTTTGCAGTAGTCAGGTCTTTGGAAAGTGACAGAAATCCAGGTACGACTGGCTCAGGCAAAACAGAGAATTAGTGGATAGAAGCTGGACTATCTCATATGTCTGGAAGGGCCTCCTGGACAACCTGAACTGGGAACACACATACTGCCAGGAGTCTTCTCTCTCTTATTTCTGCTTTGCTGTAACTGATGGCTTTATTTTCTCAGACTGATGTCTTCCATATGGCAGGAAACATGACCTTAGCTGGCTATATCCCCACCATCTAGAACGATGCCAAGCACACAGTAGGTGCTCAGTAAACATTTGTCACATGAATTCATTGGCTCAAAGCTACACATTTGGCAAAGGACTGTTTCTCTTCCCTTAGTTCTAGTTCAAAATGCCACAGAGGAGGAGCTGTAATTGACCCACCTTTGGTCACATGCTCACCTCTGACCAATCACTCATGGCCAGCAGGTGGGGTGACCCTCTTAGAATCAGACATGTGGGACAGGGGATGGGAATTCCAAAGAGTAGATGAGTGATCCAGTCCCCAGCAGGGAACAGTGGTCACCCAAGAAATCCCCATTTTACAACTGAAAAAAATCGAGGCCATCAAGTTCTGGGGAAAGTATCTTTCCCCAGATCACAAGACCACCCAGAAGGAAAGAGTTGTACAGAGAATGCCACATGTTTAGCTCAAGCACTGGAGCCCAGGTCTTCTTCACTCTTGGCCCACTGACAGTAGGAAAGGATTGAAGGAAGAAAGGGCAAGACAACAGGAATTAACATGTTAGAACTTGAAAACTTGGGGGAAGGGATGTTGGATGCATATGGAAGATGGGGTGCATATGTCAACACATGGACATGTATGTTAATGAACCTGCAGGAAGGGACAGGATGCCTATGTCAACATGTTGGCATGTATGTAAGTGAACCTGCAAGAAAGGACAGGATGCATATGTCAACACGTGGGCATATATGTAAACGAACCTGCAAGAGGGCCTGGGATGCATATGTCAATGCGTGCACAGGTACACAAGTAGCCAACAAGGGGTCTGGGAGACCACGCAGGACTGACGGTGGATGTGGAGGGGCACGGGATTGGGTGTGACACATAGAGTGAGACTGGAACTTCATCCAGAAGAAACCCTTCTTCCCAAGGCATATTTGCATCCTGTTGGAGTCATAACAAATTAGAAACTTCTCAGCCCTCCTTCTTCTAGTTCTGGGTAAGGGTTAAGAGAGAAACAGAGGGAACGGGGCTGTGTTTTCACTCTTGTGGGCCCTGGGCACTTTTGCTTTGGTGAACACCTTCCTCCATAAAAAGTATTGTAACATATACTGTATGACTGCATTGGTATAAAGACGAATATGTTGATATTCTTTACTAAAACATTTTATTCAACCTAAGATGTCATCTTTCCTCAGCTTTTAAAAAGAAATTAGGACATTTTTGTGTGTTCCTTAAAGTGGCCTGGGTGCTGAGCACTGCACTGACTAGATCTGATGGAGAAGACAGACCAGAGAGGGAGTGGCCATCACATTTTCGGGTGGGCTTTGGGTCAGGAGCCACACACACATATAGGCAGGGGCTCTTGTTGTTTTAAAGGTATAGTGGCTAGATGTAGTTCCTAGCTAAAGCCAAGAAGAATATGTGGGGTGACGGCGTCTCCAAGTGTCGTATCAGGAAAACTGGTCAGGAAATAGAAAATGGCCCAGCACAGAGAACCATGGAATCCCTCAACAGGGCTCCTCTTCTGATGATCAAAGTATTTTGGACCTTGACTTCATGCCCTGTTTTGTTTTGTTTCAGGGTAATTGGTGGCTAAAAGTTGAGCAGGTAAAAGCACACACAAAAAATATTAAAGACCAGTACAAGGTGATACCATTAGAACAGGTTTTGGGGTCACATACCCTGTGTTGGGTTCTCTCCTAAGCATATTCCTGGGGTTAGCTAGCTTGATCCTCATACCAGTCCTGTGGGAAAGGTACTACTATTGTCTCCTCTTTATAGAAACAGTGGCACAGATCAGCAAAGCAACTTACCTAAAGTAACACAGCAAGTCAGTGGTAGAGTCAGAATTCAACCAGAAGCAGTTTGATCCCATGACTTGTGTTCACAATGGCTATACTTTTCAGTACAGGGGCTGAATAAATAGTAGAGAGTGTTCATTCACCTCAGATATTCATTGAACATCTGCCACCATCTAGGCCCCAGGCTAGATGCTAGGGACACAGTAGTGAATGCAACAATCTCTGGCTGCTGGAAGCTTAAAGGCTGAGAAGAGGAAACTAGAAACTCAGTGTGATGATACTAGTGGGTTCAAAGAAAGCCCAGGAAGAGAGCCCTAACCTAGATTTGGAGTTGGGCTGAAGTCTGGACGAGGTGAGGAATAAGCAGAGACCTGGAAGTAATGTAGGATTTGGTCAGGAGAAGGGGTAAAAGGAAAGAAAACCATCTCAGGCAGTGATATGGTTTGGCAATGTTGCCACCCAAATCTCATCTTGAATTGTAGTTCCTATAATCCCCATGTGTCGTGGGAGGGACCCAATGGGAGGTAATTGAATCATGGGAGCGGTCACCCTCATGCTGTTCTGACAATAGTGAGTTCTCCCAAGATCTGTTATTTTACAAGGGGCTTTCCCCCTTTTGCTCAGCACTTCTTGATTCTGCCAGGTGAAGAAGGACACGTTTGCTTCCCCTTCTGCCATGATTCTAAGTTTCCTGAGGCCTCCCCAGCCACGATGAACTGTGAGTCAATTAAATCTCTTTCCTTTATAAATTACCCAGTCTCTCAGGTATGTCTTTGCTAGCAGCGTGAGAACAGACTAAATACAAGCAGGAAAAAAAAATAGCATCAACAGTGGCACCAAGGCCAGAGGTAGCCTGGCTCATGTCGGGGAACTGCAAGCCACTCAACCGAGAGGAAGCTCGGAGGGAGAAGCAAGAAATAAAACTCAAAGGGTAGCCAGGACCAGCTCACGAAGGGCCCTGCAGGCCTGCTGGGTCTTTGGACTTTACTCTTTTCCCAGCCTGCAGCGTGGCTCCTTTTCTCCTTCCAGGCTTGGCTCAAATGTCACCTCTCTCACTGAAACCCGATTAGGCCGCAGCCTTCCACCACCCTACACTCTACAACCTCCCCGGCCATATTTTTCTCCACAGGACGTTGACCATGTGAGACAGGTTTTGGCGGCTCCCCCAGTAGAAGCCCACAAGGGTGGCTGACTCATGTATTGCTCTTCCTGCCTACATCCACTGAACCCACACACCTAGGGGTACCTGCCCCTTTCAGGGCTCCCCCTCACCGAGTACCCCTCTCCTCTCCAGAACAATCAAGTCTCAGGGGCCAAGCAAGCTGTGGAGGGCTGAATAATCCCCACCAAAGCTGTCCGTGTCCTAATCCTGGGGCATGGTGAATACATGATCTCACGTGGCAGAAGGGAATTAAGGTTGCTAATCAGATGACCATAAAATAGGGGGATATCCTGGCTTGTTTGGGTGGGCCAATGTAACCACAGGGGCCCTTCTGTGTGAGGGAGGGAGGCAGAATTGTCAGGGTCAGAGTGACGCAATGGAAGAAATCCTCCACCGGCCATAACAGGCTTTGAAGATGGAAGAGGTGGCGTCTAGAAGCTGGAAAAGGCAGGGAAAGAGATCCTCCTCTGGAGCCGCCAGAGGGAACACAGCCCTGCCAAGACCTTGATTTTAGCCAAGTGAGATCCAGTTTGGACTTCTGACCTCCGGATCAGAAGATGCTGCCTCTACTTCTGGGTGTATGTTCTGCAGCTGCCCCAGGGCTCACAGGAACTCAGGTACTTCCATGTTTGGAAGTCCTTAGACAAGGTGCCTACTAGGTACACTCTTTCCTGCTTAGCAGGTGTGAATCCTCCGAACTGTATGCCAAGGGAGCAGCTGTGCTGAGCTGACCTGCACATACCAATCCCACAGTGAGGCAGAAGAAAAGCCGAAGAGACGGGGGCTCCAGAGACTGCCCAGAGGCCTGGCTCAATGTGCTCCGTCCTCCCCACATCTGTCCTTGGTTTCCACTCAGAGACCACAGTTGGCTGTGGGAAAATGGCCAGACATCTCATTTTGGATCTCAAGTCCCCCATCTGTAGAATGGGGAGCTTGGAACAGATGGCATCAAAGTGCCCTTCAGAATCTTACTTCCTAAGCCGTGCACGGTGGCTCACGCCTGTAATCCCAGCACTTTGGGAGTCCAAGGCGTGGATAACCCGAGGTCAGGAGTTCGAGACCAGCCTGGCCAACATGGCGAAATCCTCTCTCTACTAAAAATACAAAAAATTAGCCGGGTGTGGTGGCTCGTGCCCGTAGTCCCAGCTATTCAGGAGGCTGAAACAGGAGGATCACTTGAGCCTGGGAGGTGGAGGCTGCAGCGAGCCAACATCACACCACTGCGCTCCAGCCTAGGCAATAGAGCAAGACTCTGTCTCAAAAAAAAAAAAAAAAAAAAAGAATCTTACTTCCTAACCCTTTGATGAAGAAGATACATGAGTGGCAAACAAACACATAAAATATGATGAACATCAACAGCCATTAGGGAAATGCAAATTAAAACCGCAATGAGGTACCCCTGCATACCAGCCAGAGCCAAGTCTCATTTTAAAATGCTGTATTGCAGTATATAAAAGCAGAGTCCACTAAATTGTGGTGGGTTACAGAGAGCCAAAGAAGAGAAAAGGTTTCCTCTTAGAGCCTGAAAATAGAACATTGAAACAACATTAACAAGAGTTTAAAGAAATAACTATGATGAAATTCCCACAGCACCTCATGCAGTCCCATGAAATAAATTCTTGTTCCACTGGATCTTGGATCCGCATTCTCTGCTTTCATGAAGTCGTCTGCTTGTGGATTAAAAAAGAGTCCTAGAACTTAGATCTTCGGTGGCCTCATGTAAACCCAGCAGCCAGCCTCTTCTAGAACCCCAGCCCAGGGACTGGAGCAGGAAAGGGACCTTCAAAGTGAAGACTGCCTTGTCCTGCACCTCCTTCTGGCTTAGATTGAAAAATGGGCTTCCTAATGGGTTAAATCCTTTAAAACAAGGAGTTGTGGGGGAAGGGTGTCGTGCACTCCTAGAGAAAGGTACACAGTTGCCCAGCTGGGAATGTGCTTGGCGCTGACCCTGTGGGCATCCAACTGGTCTTCCAGCTCAGGAAAAAGAATTTGAAAGAGGCTTAGCATGAAGGGGAATCAAACAGGAGGTTGTGATTTGGTCGAAGGTGCCTGGTTTAGTGCTGTAATTGTCTTATTATATATATTTCTTGGAGTAAACATTTTAAATAAACGACATCATTGTCAAAAAAAAAAAAAAAAGAGTCCTAGAAATCCTGATTCAGTCCACTGTTACAATCTGAGAGCTGCTTAAGTGATATCAGTTCAGATGCCTTGCTCACGAGTCTATAAAATGCAGACAGTTGGAAGTATCTGGTCCAGTCATTTACCACCAGGCTCTAAAACTGTTCTTTTTCGTTGATGACACCAACTGCAGCCTGTAGCTTAGAGGAGAACCTTCAAGCAAGCATCAGAGAAAAGCAAACACTATCTGTAGATGACAGAGACTTCATAGCTGTGGTTTTTTTTTTTTTTTTTGAGATGGAGTCTGTCTCTGTCGCCCAGGCTGGAGTGCAGTGGTGCGATCTCGGCTCACTGCAAGCTCCGCCTCCTGGGTTCACACCACTCTCTGCCCCAGCCTCCCGAGTAGCTGGGTTACAGGCGCCCGCCATCATGCCTGGCTAATCTTTTGTATTTTTAGTAGAGACAGGGTTTCACCGTGTTAGCCAGGATGGTCTCGATCTCCTGACCTTGTGATTCGCCTGCATCAGCCTCCCAAAGTGCTGGGATTACAGGCGTGAGCCACCGCGCCCCGCAGCTGTGGTTAATTGATTACTATAACCAATAATGTCAGAATGGAGGAGAGTAAACTTCTCTCTCAGGTGGTATCCATCAGTAAACAAGGAGGCAAGCAGATTTTACTAAAATGTAATACATTTCATAGTTTCTTTCCAGAATCAGGTATCATAAAACAACATCAATAAAATTCACTTTCCAAATTTTGTCCTTCACAGTGCCCTTTCATATTCTAAAACAAACTGACAATTAAGACAGGAATTCTGCGAGGTCGAAACAATTTTCATAATAATGCCAAAATATTACTTATGTTACCATGCAATGGGTCCATCACTGCTATTTTCAAAAGAATTC